>NT_187633.1:0-152067 GCF_000001405.40 Homo sapiens | reverse complement strand
GAGATCATGGGCAGGCTTTATAATAGCCCAACTCAGATTTCTGGGCACCCAAATCCTGCCTCTCTTATTTAGGGCCCATCCCTCTGAGAGGGAACTCTGATGCTCTCCCTCTCGCATGGCTTCCTGTAATTCCCCAGGGGAGTGTCTTGGTTTATTGGTTTATATTCATAAAGAGGTACTGAAGGAAGCAGGGACTTTCCCTCCCTGTGTGTGCCAGGTTGCTCCCCTTCATTAGTTCAAAGTCCCCCATTAGATGACCCCCACAATCTGTCTAGTCATTTCCACTGTGCAGTAGTGCCAATATTTATGTTTCATATTTGATTTATTTGTTATTGGCATTCAGAAGTCCCCTTTCGTACCCGATTGCACCATGGGCATGGATCACAGTGAGCACATATCTCAAGTCTGTATAAACAGTCAAGGCCTTGTCCTTTCTTCATGCCAGGGCTCTGGTTAAGGCTATTATCTGAGTCTTTGGGGCTGAAGTTTGGGCAGGGAAGCTTTTGGCCTCTATGGTTTTCCATAGGGAGAGAACCACATATCCTGCCCTTCTTTCGCTCTTCCGTGAAGCTATGGCCATCTACAAACCCTATGTCTTCCTTTCCTTTTTCAACCACATCTCTGCTACAGAGAACCTTGAAGGTCATTTCTACTAAATGCAAGCGGTTAATATTAGGAACTGAGACTTGTGTTTTTCCCAGGCATGTCCTCAAACTTTGGCTAAATTAACCTTTATTGATTGAGACACCTGTCTCAGTCATTTTTTGGTTAACACAATACAGATAAAGTAGGATCCCTATCTCATATTACACATAAACATTAATACAGATGGACCAAAGACCTAAATATGGGGGATGGATCAGTAGAAAATACGGGAGAATATCTCTATGACCTTGGGACAAGGGCTGAGTTTTTAAGCAAAACACAAAATGCTCAAATCATAGAGGAAAAGATTGATAGTCGCCTGTGTTACAATTTTAGATTTGTGCTTCAAAAAGACACCCTAGGAATTAGGGGTGGA
Source organism: Homo sapiens (assembly GCF_000001405.40). NCBI lineage: Eukaryota > Metazoa > Chordata > Mammalia > Primates > Hominidae > Homo > Homo sapiens. The sequence goes on along the minus strand of NT_187633.1, from coordinate 151,046 downwards.
AAGGAAGCAAGCCACAGAGTGGGAGCAAATATTTGCAATTAATGCGCTGAACTAGTAAAAGACTGGTATCCATAAAATTATAAAGAACTACCAATCAATAAAAACCACAACCCAATAGAAAAATGGGCATAAAATACAAACAGGCAATTCTCAGAACATGAAAACAGAGTAGTCAATAATTACATAAAGAGAAGTTCAAACTTACTCAAAGTAGGGAAATGAAAATCAAAGTTATAATGAATATTACATTCCACACCCATCAGGTTGGCACGCTCAAACTGTATGTTTAAGATGCTATATTTAATGTTATTACAATCAAACTATGTTCAAGTTTTTTAATATGCTATTACAATCATTATAACAGCAAAAAATTGGCAACACTCCAAACGCCCATTACAAGAGGATGGAACAGGATATAGAGTGGATATTAGCGAATTAGGCCCATACATCTGCGTGGGAGCATCTCAGAGAACGCAGGGGCGAAACGCCGGAAGGGCACACAAACCAAGCCCCGCCCCCGGGAACCCCGCTCCCACACGGAGCATGCTGGAGGCTGATAGGTTGGTTTGACCACGCCAGTTCCGCCTTCGCCTGCCCCCTTAGAGCCCCGCCCCCGCGCGGAGCATGCTGGGGACATACGGACTCACTTTCCTCGCCAACCCCGCCCTCCGGAGCTACCAGCAACAACCAACGGGCAGCGAGCAACGGGCGCGCGCTGCTCCCTTAGGAGGCGGTGACCATCTGCCCGTGTGCCCAGGGCCTCTGAGGGCGCTGGATGGCTCCGTTGTGTCCGGGTGGTCTCGGGAGCTGCAGGGAAGGGGCGGGAAAACTACACCGGACCCCATGGGGAGCGCAGAGGCGGAAAGGGAAGGGCCTAGGGACCTCAGATTGTTTTGAATCAAGGGCAGAAAGATCGGGTCGGAGGGAGGGAAGGAAATACTTCCGTGCCTTCAGAGGGAGTCTAGAGTCCCAGGCCGTGCCGGGTGGAAGGAACTGTGCAGCGTCCCAGAGGGAAGGAAGAAGAAGGGAAGAGAAGTGGACTCAGAAAAAGTGGAGGGGAAAGAAGGGAGATGGGAGAAATGGAGGGCAGAAGAGGCAACGTTCCCCAGCCCTATAAACCATAATGAGCCCATATGAGAAAGCAGAAAGGTGGGTGGGAAGTGGGGGGCTAGAAAGGAAAAGAAACAAAAGCTGTCTTGGTCTGAGTCAGGAGCCCAGCTGTTGTGACAGGAAGGGACCTCAGAGATGGCTTTCACAGGTGGCTGTGACTATAGCTCTTTCTGGTGCCTCAAGCTCCCTCTTAACCCCTGGGAGACTTTTACCTTTGGGAGAGATTTCCCTTTGGGTTAAGGAGGGGAAAGAGGGACAGAGGGACAGTGGCAAGGGATGCCAGGAGAAGGTGAGGGAGAGGACACATGAGTGTTAGGTTTTTGAAAAAAGACGAGGGTTAAAGACAAGAGAGTTGACCACTCTACAACACAGGTTTATTAACACAACCTACAGAGGTGGGGACCAACTTAATGCCAAAGCCCCACTAGCACTTACAGGCTGGAATCATTATAGGCCTGGATGAGGGGTCTGGAATGGTAGGACTTACTGCCCAAGAGGATGTTAATAAAAATATTTCTTAAACCTTTGTCCCAACAAGATGTGATAAAGAAGTCAGACAGTTGGGGAGGATGTTACTTACAGCCCAAACCCCTGCAGAATGTTTCACTGTGACCAGGGTCTATGAAATGGCAGGAAGATTTACAAAATAATACAGCTTGGACTAAAAATTAGGGCCCAGCCTGGGGAGAGCTAGGCACTGATTTTTAGAGAAGTCTATGTCTTTGGCTATGCCAGAAGCACTGCAATCTTATTTCAAGGGCTTCTGGATGTGGTGGACTAAGTCTAAGACTAGGGGGTCCAGAGAAGACCCCATCCTTAGTAACCCTTGTCAATAGGGAGACTTCTCACGGAATCTGCTCTTTGGGTTTGACCCTCTGTCTTCATGTTCATGCCTCATTCATCTTTGTTAGGTTTTGAAGGGAAGGTGAGGGTTAAAGAGTTGGCAGCTTAACAGCAACACAGGTTTATTGCCAGCACAAACCTGTGGAGGGGGGACCAGCTTAGTCTCAGAGCACGAGTCCCACTTACAGACTGGGACATTTACTATAAGGAAGAGGAAAGCAACACGAAGGGTGGCTGGGCAGTCAACAAGGACAGGTTTATTTTAGAAAATAAACTTGAGAGGGGCTTCTGGCCGAGTTAGCTCAGACTAACTTCTGTTACAGACTAAGGATATTTAAGGGTTTTGGAAGGGGTCTTATCGTAGGTTCCGAATGTTTCTGTGTGAGGGAAAGTTTATTGCGGGGTTGGAATGTCTCTGGTCGGAAGGGAGGCTGTCTCGGGGTTGGCATGTTTCTGGTCAGAGGGGTTTATCTTAGGGTTGGAATATTTCTGGTTATGCTGACATTAGCCATTAGGCTGATGTTTTGGGGCTGGATTTAGGCGGCTTTTAATGAAGGGGGAACTTAGAATGGTGGTATTTGTTCAAGATGGCAGTGCTCCTGCTCTGTCAGTTATGGGTCTGGACCGGGGGAGAAGGGGCAGTATAGCTTGCTCCCCTGCAGGATGTTGAAGATGTTCCTTGGGCCCTTCATCCAGCAGGATGTAATAGAGATGTTCCTGTGGTTAGGTGGTTAGGCAGTATTTTTTTATGACCTGAACCCCCATGGAATGTTTTATTCTGACCAGGTTCTGTGAAATGTTGGGAGACATCTGCGGCCATACTGTAAGGCTCTTGTGTTGGTTCGAACCCCGAGAGCTTGCCAGCAAAGAACACAAGGCAGTGTGGAGCAACACGCTGTTTTAATGAGCACCTGGGTGCAGATGGGCTGAGGCCTAAAATGGCGTCAGCCCCAGGTGAGGACGGGGCAGGGGTTTTATAGTCTCCTGTAAACAGGAAGTGTCCCAGTCTGATGTAACTGCTACATGGTACCCAGATGGCCTCTCTCTTGATCTTCAGGGGTACGTGTCTCCTGGCCAGCTCTCTTCCTGCTTCTGCTATCTTGCTGACACACGCTGCTAGCACAAGTGGTCTTGTGCCTTGGGACTGGGCCTGAGAAGGGAGGAGTTATTCATCCCCCCAAACTTTCAGGCCCCGGGGAGAATCTTTCACATACCACCCTGAACACGCCCAATCTCGTCTGATCTCAGAAGCTAAGCAGGGTCTGGCCTGGTTAGTACTTGGATGGGAAATGATCACAGGGAGGCTTACAAAATGGTATAGGATATCTTGTGGTTTAAGCCCATTCCCTCCGGGAAGACCTTGTTGGTTTTCTCCCTACAGAACCTGCTGTGTACAAAATGGTGTAGGATATCTTGGGGTTTAAGCCCATTCCCTGAACCTGCTATGACATTAACTGAACAGCTCCTGGGGGTGCATCCCAATAGGGAAGTTATTGAGCTCCCAATGTTTTCGTGAAGCTGCTTTGTCAACTGTGAAATAATTATTGCCCTGCCCACTCCTGGGGTTGTTAGAGACCCAGTGAGATACTAAAAGTGTGTTTAAAGCATGTAGGGTCTGCAAATGCAATAAAGTGTGGTCAGAAAGCCCAACTCACGTGGCTTTGGGGGCCACTGGTGAGAGAAGAGACTGGAGGCAGCCTGTTGTGGTCAGAGCCTCCTGCTATTGTCAATTTCTCCTCACTGTCCCCTTTACCAGGAAGGCAGTGTCAGTTTGATCAGCTGCCAGTCTGTTTGCCCTCATTCCCCCTGGCCCTGCCCTGAGTCCAGCGACCTGGATTTGAAACCTGCATCTGTCACTTACTAGCTGAGGGATCTTGGGCAAGACATTTCAGCCCTTTTCTGCTTAAATAGAGTTAAGACAGCCTATGAATGAAACTATATAAACCAAGGCATTTCTGACTCCAGTAGGAGGCAGCTGCTGTGAGGGAGAAGCCCTGGCCAGGAATCTGTTATAGTTATTTTGTCACCAACTGGAATGGCCTTGGGACAAAGCACAACAGCTGTCTTGACCTCATCAATAGCCTTGACCTCATCCCTCGTGTCATGCTGTGTCATCTTCAACATCTGTCACTTCCATCAGCCTTAGCATTGGCCTTGGCCTCAGTTTCCTCATGTGTGACTTGAGGATGATGATTCTTATAGGAATCAATAAGCTTGGGATAAAGAAGCTATTGGGTCACATTATACATACTTTAAATGCATTAAGTGGGGTCTGCAGTTCCTAGAGATTAGCAGATTGCATTGCGTGAGAACAGAGCCATAGAGAATGTTTGAGGTCCCATTAATAGCTGATAGGAGGCTGATCAGTAAACACTGGGAGGGGAGGATTGACTCTTGGGTGAAGAGTTGGAGGAGGGTGGAGGATTGAGTCTTGGGTGAAGAGTTGGAGGGTGGAGGATTGAGTCTTGGGTGAAGAGTTGGAGGGTGGAGGATTGAGTGTTGGGTGAATTGAGTCTTGGATGAAGAGTTGGAGGGTGGAGGATTGAGTCTTGGGTGAAGAGTTGATTGGAAAACAAAGCTGAACAGAAAACCAGGGCATCATCAACACTGATGAGTAATTTTTTTTCTCTATAAAATGATTATTTAGATTAAGAAAAGGAATGACAAATTTTGAAAAGCCGACAAACACCACAAACTCCAGAAAAAAAAGAATCCTGACATTTTTACTAAGTGACAGACACACCTTCGCCTTTAAAACACTCTGTCCCCCCCATATTTCTTGGCTGCAGACTCTTTGATCACATTTTCGTGTGACAGTGATTTTGTAATATTTTCTATGGGGAGAATAGAAAGATAATTCCGTCTCTCCTTTGGCAGTAGGCATGTCCCTGTGAGGGAGGAGATCAGCAGGATTTTTCCAAGCACCTGTCAAAACCCTGCTGATCAAAACAGAACATAACAATAACAAAGAATGGCCAAAACCAGCTCGGAATAGGAATTAAAATGCATTTGCATAAGATACTCCCACCAGGGCCATGACAGTTTACAAATGATCCCACGGCAATAACCCAGGAATTATCTTATATGGTTCCAGGAACTTCCTGTTCCTAGTTTATGAATAACCTGCCTCTTATTTAGCATATAATTAGCAGGGGGTATAAATATAGCTAGCCAGCAATCCTGGAGTGCTATTCTACCTGTGGGGTAGCCCTGCTCTGTCTGTGGAGCAGCCATTTTGCTGTACAATGTTGCTTTAATAAACTTGCTTTGCTTTCAGTTTTGTCTGTTAGCTCACTCTTGAATTCCTTCCTGAGCAAAGCCAAAAACCCTCCCCGGCTGAGTCCCGATACGGGGATTTGCTTACATCAGCCAGAAGTAATTTATGCACAAAGATAACTATAGCAATTTTTAGTAGATACAGAAGTGACTTCAAAGCCCAGAAATGTGTCCCACTAAACTCATACAAAATGATCCCCAATTTTACCTTCTCCCTTAGCCATATCCAAAATAGCCACAGCCATTCCAACAGGACAGACGCGTGACAGAGGGAGAATATGAACTGAAAAGAGACACTAGGCCTCAACCAACTTGTAAAAATGTCTTCTACATATTTTCCAAAAGCACATGACAAAAGCATTGATAGGGCTCCTCCCAAGGCAAAGAGGGCCCCTGAGGGTTAAGCTTAATGTTGTCTCTGAAGCCACCTCTGCTCTGAATAATCGCAGCTGCACCGGTTGCAGCTCGCTCTTCCCCCAACATGTCCCACCTCACCCTCTCAACAATACAGTGGGGATGTTCTGAGATTTGTACCCACCGCCTAAAAGAACCCTCCTCTGGGTGGGATGAGATTCTCTGGCCCTTAGCAGGGCTCTAGCCTGCCCTGTCCTCTCCTACACATGCACCGGCAGTAAAAGCTGAACTTTGAACCACAGGTGCACTTCTTGAAAGGGGGCAGAGTGGGAGGCAGAAAAAACACGTTGGATCCTATACATGCCTTTGGGAACCCCCAGTGAACTCTCGGGGTTCCGTGTCTGGTCATCTTTACACTCCCTTCTAAGACTGCTGGGAGGAGCTATTGAACACTCTTGCATGAGACATCCACAAGCATAAAAAACATGGCAGCGGGGGAGGGGAAATGAGAGAGAAAAAGAGGAGAAGAATTTGAATAAAAGACTGTAGCTTGGAAGAGAAGGCAGTGGGGAGGGGCACCCAGATCTGGCCATCCTCACTGTCCCCCTGTTGCTGTGCCAGAGGCTGGCCCTGCCAGGAAAGCGTCATACCTTACCTCAGTTTCCCCTTTAAAACAGGGTTGCTAATTCCTACCTCACAGGGTGGTCCTCATGAGGATAACATGAGATAATGTCTGGGGAAATTGCTTGGGAAAGTGTAAAAGGCCACTCACACAGAAACCCCTCATGACCCATGTGGCCAAAGTGGGGACGTGGACTTAGAGGCCCTGGACCCAGGCCTGGGCCCTGCCTTGCCTGTCTGGGGAAATGGTCCTGGCCTTTACTCAACACTGACCCTGCCTTGGGAGGAAGAGCCTGCCCAGGCCAATCTCCCACGCCCTGACCGAAGCAGGTGCCGTCAGACAGAGTCCTGGCTTGGGAGTCAGAGGGACTGAGCTCAACACGTGGGTACCCTAGAACCTGCGCCTGGATAACTGAGTTGCTGATGCAGCCTGAAGGGGTGGGTTGCCCCTCCACACCTGTGGGTGTTTCTCGTTAGGTGGAACGAGAGACTTGGAAAAGAAAAAGACACAGAGACAAAGTATAGAGAAAGAAATAAGGGGACCCAGGGGACCAGCGTTCAGCATATGGAGGATCCCGCCAGCCTCTGAGTTCCCTTAGTATTTATTGATCATTTTTGGGTGTTTCTCAGAGAGGGGGATGTGGCAGGGTCATAGGATAATAGTGGAGAGAAGGTCAGCAGATAAACACGTGAACAAAGGTCTCTGCATCATAGACAAGGTAAAGAATTAAGTGCTGTGCTTTGATGTGCATATACATAAACATCTCAATGCCTTACAGAGCAGTATTGTTGCCCGCATGTCCCACCTCCAGCCCTAAGGCGGTTTTCCCCATCTCAGTAAATGGAATATACAATCGGGTTTTATACTGAGACATTCCATTGCCCAGGGACGGGCAGGAGACAGATGCCTTCCTCTTGTCTCAACTGCGAAGAGGCATGCCTTCCTCTTATACTAATCCTCCTCAGCACGGACCCTTTACGGGTGTCGGGCTGGGGTACGGTCAGGTCTTTCCCTTCCCATGAGGCCATATTTCAGACTATCACATGGGGATAAACCTTGGACAATACCTGGCTTTCTTAGGAAGAGGTCCCTGCGGCCTTCCGCAGTGTTTGTGTCCCTGGGTACTTGAGATTAGGGAGTGGTGATGACGCTTAACGAGCATGCTGCCTTCAAGCATCTGTTTAACAAAGCACATCCTGCACAGCCCTTAATCCATTTAACCCTGAGTGGACACAGCACATGTTTCAGAGAGCACGGGGCTGGGGGTAAGATCATAGATTAACAGCATCTCAAGGCAGAAGAATTTTTCTTAGTACAGAACAAAATGGAGCCTCCTATGTCTACTTCTTTCTACACAGACACAGTGACAATCTGATCTCTTTTTCTTTTCCCCACATAGCCAGGCCCCCGCTGCTGGGGTAGCCCAGCCTACGCCTCCGGGGGCCTTCAGGGAAGAGAACCAGCTAAGGCTGGGGGGACCAGGAGAAGGGTCCCCCAAGGTTGGAAAGTGCATGCAGGAGGATGCTCAGCAGGGGCTGCAACAGGGGGGCCTTGGGAGCCCACCAGGCAGGGATCAGCAAGGGGTCTCACTCAGCGAGGGACTGCAAAGCCTCACTTCAGTCTCTAGGTCCAGGGATCAGGCTCACCAACTCCCTGCAGAGGCCCCAGCAGCAGGGGACCGCAGGCTCACAGCATGGACAGTGGGTGATATCTGTTGTAAGCTCTCCTCTTCCCTCTCCCGCTCCCCATGGCCTCCGCTATCAGAACATATTCTGCCTCTTGCAATATGGACAGAGTGGGTCCTTAAAAAAAATTACCTAAAATGTTAGCTCAGGGTTCACTTCCAGAAGAGAAAACAGGTGTAAGGGGTTCTGGGACAGGCCTGTGGAAATCGGGAGTGATACCAAGGCTGACTGTAGCATTGGGGATAAAAAGGAGGGAGGAGTCCCAGAGTAGGGTGGGGACCACATAGGACACCACTTCCTTAGGGCCCAGACAGAGGCAGGAGGTCTGATATCAGCAGTCAGTTGGGAGTTCCTAGGGGTCTGGGGTGGTGGAGAGAGACCTTCACAAGTTGGGCAGGCTGCTCTGCTTCACCCCAGATTAGAGGGCACTGCTGGACACCCACATGGCAAAGTGGCCAAATCCCAAGGGAAGACCCAAGGAGCCGAGTTGAAACTGCCCCCTGCTCCTGAACTCAGGGGTCAGCGATATTGCTGCTACTTGCTAAGCCCAGTTGCCCCTGTGTTATCCACTCCCCCTTGGAGACCTCGGGGCAGCATAGATTCCCCCCACCCAGGACTTGGAATGGGTCATCATTCAATGCTATTTAATTCCAAGGGTAGCCTGGACTCCAGACGACACATTCTTTTACTACTCTTCCTACTTTCCCATCCTAAATTAGGTCCAACCTCAAAGTTCAAATTTGAGTCAGAGGTTCTGCAGATATATAAGATGCCAGATACCCAGATAAAAAGTCAACCTAGAAATGTCTTTCATAAATTTCCTAGGGTCAAATTCAAGTCAAAAAATTAAGTTCCCTTGTCCTTTTAGGTTAAAGTCCAAAGGGAAAAAAAAGTCTTAAGGTCAAAGGATTCAAGCCCAAAGCAATCAAAGAGAGCCCAGGGATCCGTCAGAGCCCAGTGGTGTTAACCTCCTCCCCGAGGCTCTGTGCTCACCCAGTGAGCAAAGTGGCCCAGTAGGCACGGGAGGGCTGGGTGTCCTGGAAAGTGAGATCCTTCTCTCCACATCTCAGCATTTTCACTAGCCTGCCATGTGCTCCAGTTTTAAAAGACCCAGAGTTACTAGGAATGAGCAGATGGTGATAGCCTCAGCCTCCTGCTCGCCAACCACAGGGAAGTCCTTAGAGCAGCATGCAGGCCATGAGATGTCTCCAGGATCCCGGACCCAGCCCCATGTAGCCCTCTCTTCCTGCTACCTCAGTACTCCAGCAGGAATGCCCTGGCAGCTGATGGAAAGAGAGTAGACAGGGAAGACAAACCCTAGACCCCACAGCATATCTAACCAGGTGGAGGGTTAGCATTAGCCCTGGCGACCCCGCTGGGGTGGAGCAGGAAGCAATTTCTGCTGTCCTCCTCCCTGAGCGTATCTGTACAAGCAGTCATCACCTGCCTGGGTCTTATTTATAATACCTTCTCCTTTTCATATGTGTGAAATCTCATCATTTCCATTTCCCTCTGTATGCCCATTGCATGGATGTCTTCAGTCCTAAGAGATCCTGCCCCAGTCAGTGCAGCACAGCCCAGCAGGTTGCTGAGCTGAGCACCAGGGAGCAGTGGCTGTGTCCCACTGGCTCTCAGGACACTAGCTGTCCTCCACTGGGGATGTTCCCAGTCTTGAGCAGCACTGTTTCTGCAGCACAGTTGTCAGCAGTTGGGGACAGATGTCCACAGCTGTGCTTCCTCATGCGACTGCTGGCTTGCATCCCCAGCATGGCTCAGCTGGGGCCCTGGCAGTTGTGCTGGCTGCTGGCAGTCTTCACACACAGGGCTGGTCATTTGTGTTCAACCCCAGTGCCTTCCCTCCTTTTACTTTCTCTTTGCTTTCCGGCCCATATATTTACTTTTTCTGATCTGTTCCTCTAGATTTTGTCACTTGGGGGTCTCCCCTGGCAACAGAAAACAAAACCAGGCAATCCCAGGTTTGCCACAAGAATTGCTGTTGAAACAGTCCCACAGCTGCGCCCAAGAGATGGCGGCCATGGCCATCAGCCTCCCTGCCGTCAGCCCCTCTCTCCTGACTGGCTGTGCTCTCCTCAGGGAGGACTCCACTGAGCCCTCCTTGACACCTAATCCCTACATTTAAAAAATGCATTCCCTTAGGTCCTGAGCAACCCCAGACACCCACCCACAGTAACTATGCTGTCCCCAGGTATACCTAAAATATTTTCAATGTTTGATGCTGATCTTCTGTCCTTTAATTTGCCCAAATTCCCTACAGCCTCTGAGGGCTGCCCTGGCTCATGGAATGGCTTCTGATTCTTACGGAGTTGCTGTCTGCAGCATTGAATGGCCCCCCCTCAAGAGTGTTCTGGGTCACCTGGTTCCCTGGTGGTGACCTTGTCTGTTCCCAACGTCTGCCCTCCCCTCACATCAGGGAGCTTTCCTGTCCCCTAAGTTGGTCTGGCCCACTCCAGGGTCCCATGATCCCTCATCTCTGCACAGCCTGCCTCCTGACACCACTGCTCCCATTCTAAGGGTAAGACTGTGGTGTGTTTTTCAAACCATTCCAGTTCCTTCTGGATCTCCCAAGTAAACCCAATTCCCTGGGACAGACGGTTCTCAGCACAAGCCATTTGTATGGCCCTTGCTAGCTTTGGATGCGTATTGATTTCATTGTTTCTCTATCTCAACCCAAGAAAATAGCATATTCTCTGAAGGGCCCTGATTCCTTTTAATGCTGTTGTCCATTAACAAACTCTTACCTTTCTGTGGGCAAAGCCACGACTTTAGTCTCCCAATTCCTGGGTCAAAATGTACGTAATAGCCAGGCACGGTGGCTCATACCTGTGATCCCTGTAATATTCTGGGATGCCAAGGCGGGAAGATCACTTAGGGCCAGCCTGGGGAACCTAGTGAAATCCTGTCTCTACAAAAATAAAAATATAATTAGCTGGGCATGGTGGCACAAAACTGTAGTCTCAGCCACTCAAGAAGCTGTGGCGGGAAGATGGCTTAATCCCAGGAGTTCAAGGTTACTGTGAGCTTGATTGCACCACTGCATTGCAGCATGGGCAACAGGGAGAGACCCTGTCTCTAAAAAGAAACAACAAATTAAAACAAAATGTATGTAAGGCACAAATCGAGAGCCAAGCTGAGCCGCACAAGGGGACTAACTCAGCAGACCTAGGGATGTGTTTCGTGGGCTCAGGAGGGACCCTCCCCAGTCCCTGTTCTGGCAGGAGGCTTTGAGGACAGCTCATCTGGCACAACTCCACTGTGGGTGGTACAAGACTCATACCAGGTTGCACCGGCCCCTTGCTGCCTTCGCAGTTGGAAGTGGTGATCTCAGACCTGGCTGAGAACACAGTAAAGGCAGCAAGCCTGGGCCTGCCCTCCTCCATTCATGCCTCAGAGGTTGGGACCCTTCTGTAGCCTCCTCTGCACTGTCTCTCTTTGGATTAATAGGAGGCCCGTGCAGGAGTCAGAGAACACGGCTCTGAGCTGTGACCATCCCCAAAGCACTGCCCTGAGTTGCCAAAGGTCATATCCCCACATGGACCTTACTTTATACCAGCAAGATGGAACCTCCGGCCTGGGCCACTAGTTAAAAGCCAACCCTAAGACTGTAAGGATCAGCTCGTGGCTCCAAAGCTCTGTGGGGAACTGCCAAGGCCAGAAGCCAGTGTGGTCCCTGTGAAGCCCCCGCGCACACACCAGGCATCCCCAAAGCCTCAGACTTTATGTGGTTACTTGAGGACTCAAAGCTCAAAGCCTCTGCTGGATTTAAGGGGGCTTAAATAGAACACGCCTTTCTTCCCATTCCAATCCTGGGGCCTCCACCACAGTTGTGAGGGTCATAGCACATGCCAGAAGGCAGGGAGCACACAGCAAAGCAGGGCCCAGAAAGACTGAGCTAGACGGGGGGCGCTAAGGAGGTGCTTGTTTAGGGACATAAGCACCTCATGGGGAAACAAGGAGGTGAGGAAGAACGGCCCCCACTCCCAGCAGAAACACTGTGGTGGGAAGCTCAGGGAGGCTGGGGGTGGGCTGGGGAAGAGGCCAACAAAGTGGGAACAGCCCTCCGTATGGGCCAGTGTCTGGCAAGGTCTTAGTGGGATGGGGCAGTTGGGCAGTGCTTCTGCATGGCACGGTACCCAACGGTCGGCCTGGTGGTGGTGCTCTTCACTTCCTCTTCACTCCCTTCTACTGTGCATGTTAACTTTTGTATCAGGGAGTATGAGATATGGAAAAATGCATAAATGCATAAGGTTTAATAAATATATATAGGCACTTGTAAGAACAGAGAGAAAAATACTGCAGCACCCTGCCACCTCCCAAATGCCCCTGGCCAGTGGGACCGCTGTCCTGACAGTGATAGAAATCATTTCTTGGCTTTCATCACAATTTTCCCACCTACACGTGGTCCTCTGAACAGTACAGTTTGGGGGTCCTTGTTTTCAAACTTTATATAAATGGAACTGCATTATATATATATATCTTGTGGCTTTTGCTCAATATGTTTATGAGATTTGACCGTGGTGATATTTGTACCTATAGCTTGTTCATTTCACTGCTGTTGAATATTCCATGAATGAACAAGCATAATTTATCCAATTATTGATGGACATTGGGTTGCTTCGAGATACAAGTTTCTCCGGGATAAATATATCGAGGAGTGGGATTGTGGGCACGTTACAGCTGAGGAGGTTAGTAGTGGTGTGTCATGGTGGTTCTTATTTCCCTGATTTCTACTGACGATGAACAACTTTTCCATTGGATATTCTGTTTTGTGAAGTGGCTTCTAAAGTCCTTTGCTCATTTTTTTAAATAGGGTTTCCTAATAATGTAATGTTGAGATAGGAGATCAGCAGAACTTGTTTTCCAAGCACTGGTCAAGACCTTGGTCATGATCCCGCTGATCAAAACAGAATCTGGTCGGAACAGGATGCAGTGAAGAAATCAGCTGAAACCAGCTGGAACCAAGATGGCAACAAAAGTGACCTCACTTTTGTCCCTCACTGCTCATTATATGCTAGTGATAATGCATGCTAAAAGACATTCCCACCAGCACCATGACAGTTTACACATGCCACGGCAATACCCAAAAGTTATCTTATGTGATTTAAAAGGGGGAGGAACCCTCAGTTCCAGGAACTCCGGATCCCTTTGCTAGAAAATTCATGAATAACCTGCCCCTTATTTAGCATATAATAAGAAGTAGCTATACATATAGATAGCTGGTAGTCCAGGAGTGCTGCTCTGCCTATGGGGTAGCCCTGTAAACCCCATCCACCTGTATGGATGCTCTATGAAACCCACTTTTCTGTACTCTGTTGCTCTAATAAACTTGCTTTGCTTTCACTCTTTTCTGTTGGGTCACTCTCAAATTATTTCCTGTGCAAAGCCAAGAACGCTCTCAGGCTGAGCCCCAGTTTTGGGGCTCACTTGCATTAAGATAAGTTGCAGAAATTGTAGCATGTCTTTCATTCTTACGGTGTCTCACTAATAGTGTGTCAATCTTTCCTTATTGTATGTACTCATTTTATCTTACTTAAATCATAAAGATGATATTCTTCTACACCATCTTTTAAGATCTTTGTGGCCTTTTCTTTATGGCTGTAATCTATGTAGAACTGACTTTTGTGTGGGAGTTAAATAGGAGCCCAGTTTGATGTTTCTCCTTACATGGTAGCCAGCTGCCCAGCACCCCTAGTTGAATGAGTTCTTCTTTTCATGTGGATTTCAATGCTCCCCCAGTCTGATATTGTGTCCATGTGTGTGGAGAGGTCTGTTTCTGGATTGCTCTTTTTTCCATTGGTCTGTTGTCTGCCATGTTCTGATTCCACTTTGCCTTAATTGTGTAGCTTGATCATGTGTCTTAACATTGAAAAAGCAAATCCTCACACCTTGCCTTCTACAAGAAAATGTTTTGACTCTTCTTGGTCATTTAGAGTCTCATATAAATGTTAGAATTAGGTTGTCAATTCCCATAGAAAAATCTGTTAGAATTTTGATTGGGACTGTGCTGAATCATCAACCAGACAGAACTGTTACGAGCACAATATTGCCTCCAGTACAGAGATGCTGAGACCAACTCGATCGGGGAGACCCTAACCCAGCGGCGCTAGAGGAATTAAAGACACACACACAGAAATATAGAGGTGTGAAGTGGGAAATCAGGGGTCTCACAGCCTTCAGAGCTGAGAGCCCCAAACAGAGATTTACCCACGTATTTATTAACAGCAAGCCAGTCATTAGCATTGATAGATATTAGATTAACTAAAAGTATACCTTATGGGAAACAAAGGGATGGGCTAAAATAAAGGGATGGGTTGGGCTAGTTATCTGCAGCAGGAACATGTCCTTAAGGCACAGATCACTCATGCTATTGTTTGTAGTTTAAGAATGCCTTTAAGCAGTTTTCCGCCCTGGGTGGGCCAGGTGTTCCTTGCCCTCATTCTGGTAAACCGACAACCTTCCAGCATGGGTGTTATGGCCATCATGAACATGTCACAGTGCTGCAGAGATATTGTTTATGGCCGGTTTTGGGGCCAGTTTATGGCCAGATTTTGGGGGGCCTGTTCCCAACACAGAGACATGGTCAGTCTCTTCATTTATTTAGTTCTCCAATAACGTTCAGGGTGTTAGTTTTCTCTGTAGAGGTTCTCTGTAGAGTACATCTTGGATTTGTTTCTAGGTACAGGAAACTTTTTAAAAATATATTTTATATAGACCAGGGTCTCACCACGTTGCTCAGGCTGGTCTTGAACTCCTGGCCTTGGCATCCCAAAGTGCTGGGATTACAGATGTGAGCTACTGCACCCAGCCAGGAAATGTATTTTCTATTGCTCTCCCACAACTCCCACCACATCTTCTCCATCTGCATGAAATCATATTCTCTGTATGGTATCTGTAAAGTCATATCTTATTCTGAGAAATGTCCATTTCTGCATCAATACTCATCGCATGTATTCTAAATATACTTTGTCTTGTTTGTCTTGTATATAGGTTATTGTAGTTACTTGACCTGTGCCGAAATGTTAAATGTGTGTAAGTTCATGTCCTTCATTCTGGCTTTTTATTCACTAATAGTCATCAGCATCCTTACTGTCAATACAAGAGATGCTCCTTCTCAATATTTTGATATGGTAGTACAAGGATTCCAAAGGAGGAACCTTCTTTTTTAGCAGCTGTGTTTTTTGTTTTGGTTGGCAATTCACTAAGGACTCATCTCATCATGTTATGAGGGAGACATTCTTGGAAGCATGGCTCCTTTTCCGACTCTTCTCAGCACACAGCTGTCACCCATGCTTTGCTGTGAGATGGGGTGCCCTACAGATGGATGGGGTTTACAGGCTTAAGGTTACTGATGTCTTTTCATAAGACATTATTGCCTTGTTTGTTTGTTCTTCAGAAAACAAATTCTAGGGAGCCGGGGTTAATCTGTTCCATAGTCTGAATGTGTTACTGAAACACCAGGGGTTTTGTCTGGGTCCCATTGCATGCTGCACAGCCAATCACTGCCGGGAGGAAGGGCTTTATTCAGGTGCTGCAGCCAAGGAGAATGGGAGATAAGTCTTGAATCCATCTCCCTGACCGGCCAAAATTGGAGGGTTATATAACAGTGGAAGGGATGTAGCTATGTTTGGGAAGGAGTTAGGGAGGGGTAAGAACGCAGCCATGATGAACGAGGGATCCAGTGTCTCCCTGTCTGGATGCAGTGATCTAGTGAATTTGAGAAAGGATTACCCTGTGGAGGGAGGCAACAGGAGGGAGCCTTCTCTCTGGAGCCCCTGGGCATGCTTTGAATTTGAGCCATATAAATCTATTACCTATTAAACTGAGAAGAGAACTAGGTACGCAAGAAGCCAAGTCACTGGGGCGGTGGGGACGATACTTCTCATTTGTAGCCTTTCAATTTGGTGCTCTGTCTGGCTGTTTTGAGAGCTAAACTGTAAGTTGAGACCCCATAGTCACCAGATGAGGCCTGAGGTTCCAGGACTGAAGGGACAGAGTCGGTTTCTGAAACTGACAATCTCTGTTTCTTTTACATGGGCTTCAAACATAGAAATGAAGTGGCTTGGCCTCACTCGCCAGGAGGGGAAATCTGGGCAGTTGGCTGGTGGGTTGACATTGTCCCTCACACCAGTCCTGTAAATTACTCAGGAAGGCCCAGGCCTGGAGAACTAAGACTTGGCTTTCACTGCTTAGCCTGGAAAGGAACTGAGATGGCCAAAGAGGGCTTTATAGAAACAGTGTCAGTGGCCCAGAAATCCTGGAAATCTCCCAAGCTCCAAGGATCAGTTGATCTCTGTGTGTGTCTCCTGCACATAGAGAGCTCCACTCAGTTCTGTGGTCTTTGGGCTGGTGGCCCCAGGGGCCCCTCCCTTGGCACTTGTCCAGGTAACTGAAAAACCACTCTGATATGAGGGTTGGCCCTGCATTAATTTTATCTACTGCATTAGAGGCAGTAGGGTTGTCTCATTGCCTGCCCTGCCAGCTCCTGTGAGTGGTAGAGCCAGCCCTTCAGTGTGGGGCTGGTGGGGGAGCAGTTCCCAGTGAAGGCATTTGAGTTGCATCCCAGCAGGATACCACTCGTTTGCCCTGCTGCACAGACTGGCCTCACTGGCCTCCTAGCACTTCCCGGCTCCATCTGGAGACTTCTAAGTAGATACCTAACCACACTTCCTCATTGTCTCTGTCCCTGCCTCCCTATCCACTGCCATCAAGGCTGGCACATCAGGAACAATAGTGCCCTCCGAGGAAGGGGTGAGGGAGAGATTTCACAATTTATCAAGACCTGAGTGCAGGCACAGGCCACCTGCTGTCTCCTCCCTTCCCATGGCATTCCTTGGATTAACCGTGCCTCTGAGGATGTGAGATGTCCCTGTCATGCCTCCGTGATTGAGTATGTGGGAAGGACTTCTGATGAATCCCTTCATTTCACAGATGGGAAAAACTGAGGCCAGTAGAAGGAGCAGAGTGGGAGCCTGATCCTGATCTTGCTGGAATCGGGCTCCCAGAAGGGAGTGGGGTCTGGAGGCTGGCGGTGGGGGGTGGTGGGGAGGGAGTCTCTGCAACAAAGCAAAATTCCTGGAGGGGATGAGGTGGGACACATGCAGGGTGGGAAGTCTTGGGAAAAGCCTACATTGCTGGGCTGTCCAGAATGGACAAGTACCGAGGGGCCCCTGGTGCCACCAGCCCAACGGATCACAGAACTGGGTGGAGCTATGTCCAGAAATGGAAACCTCAGCTAACAGGACCTGGGCTGAAGCAAAGGGGCCTGTGGGTGTTGACCAGGTGGCCTCAGGGAAGGTATCCCAGAAGAATGGTGTGTGTGAGGCTTATAGTGGACAGATGGGGGACAGGCCTTGAACCTACAAAATGAGGTTCAAGGCCTGCCAGGCTGTCTGTCTGTTGCAAACAGTGGCCCTGAGGAGAGTGAGGGTCACCCTGTAGGCCGGGGGTCTTTCTCAGCAGATGACATAGTACCACCAGAGTGATGGAGAACAGGCAGATGGACCCCACACCTGTCTGTCCTGTACCTCAGAGTTTGTGGCGTTACTTGGAAATGCATTTCCAAGGCTGACCCTGCAGGTCCTGGGGCAGTCAAACAGGGGTTTGAGGAAGAGACCCACCACCTGGTGGGCAGTGGAGCCTGTGCTTTGGAGGAAATGGAGCTGGCCATGGGATGGGGGTCAATGGGGGCAGGTGTGGCTTGAAGGTGGGATGTAGCAGCTGACCTCCCCAGCAGGCAGGCCGGTTATTAGTCCCAGGGGACTTAGGAACACTTTGGGCAGGGCAAGCGGATAGGTCCCTGACCCACAGACACCCCCTTTGTTCCTGGAGTCCAAGGACCCATGACCTTGTGGATGCCCCCAGGGGGCCACAGAACCTCAGACACTCACCTGCTTTTGGAGGACAGCTCTCACCAACCCTCCTGCCCTCACACAGCAGGTGCCCAGCCTGCCCTGCCCATCTCCTCGGCCCTCAGAGTCTAACTTGCTCATGTGAGGCCACAGGGCCCTTGCAGGGGGCATGGCATTGAGTGTATGACCATGCCCTGGATCCTGGGGTCAGTGTCCTCATCTGTGAAATGAGGGAGTTGCATTAGATGCTCATGGGGCACTGCGCCCCTGCTCTCCCTATCTGTGACACAGCCGAGAGCAAAGACCGCTGAGGCGGGGTGGGAGCCAGGGGGCCAGCCAGGGCTTGGTGGGGTGTGGGGCCCGAGGCAGAAAGAGTTTGTTGTGGGGGGAACTGGGGGTCCTGGGCAAAGCTCAGCCTCAGGCCTTGGGAGGCTGGGGCTGGGGGCACCCAGGAGCTGAGGGGATGTGATAAAGGCCAGGGCCGAGGAGGGTGCCTGTTACACCACAGGTACTCAGATCCAAGAAGGAAACCTCAAGCCTGAAAGCCAGGCTGAGAGGAGTGGGACCTTCCCGCTACAGCTGGAGCCATCCCATGCCCCCCATGTCTCCCCCAGCTGGGAGGTAGACGAGGGGCTCCACCGCCCTCTCACTGAGTTAACAATGAGACTGAGGCCCTCGGCTGGCAGGGAGTAAGCTGAGGAGGGCCTTGCTTTAGAGACCTTCATGGAAGGGGTGCCCCATCCCAAGATGGGTGCCACCCTTCCAGACTCCCTGGAGCTTCTATTCTCCTTCCTCTTCCTAATCTTCACCCCACCCAGCCCCATTGCTCTTCTGGAAGGAGAGCTCGCTGTCCAGTACTGCGCGGGATGACCGAGTGAACAGGGGACTGGAGACGAGATGTGGCTGGAGACTGAGAGAAGCAGAGGAGTCACACTCCACTCACCTCCACCTCCCAAAGTGCCGGGATCACAGGCTTGTGCCACTGCGCCCAAACATAACTGAAGGTTTTACAGACATGTCTGTGGCACCACAGAACACGAACGGTCCCAATGGAAACCCCACGCCCAATTTCCTCAGGGAACTGCTGTGGCGGAGGCTTGGTGGGTGTCTGAGGGGAGCAGAACCCAAGGCGTGGGGTTCGGGGGTGGACGGGGCGGTATGACCAAGAACTCTGCACCTCCCCCACCCACCCGCCTGAAAACTCTCCTGAAGTCACCTAACAAAGTGGATGGCAGTGAGTGGCTCTGGGTGGGATCTTTCTGTCCTCTGGCTACCCTCTGCCCAACAAGAAGGCTGGGGAAGGTGGGGCTGAGAGAAAGGTCTAGGCCTAGAAGACCTCGGACTCCTCCCAACTCCAACTCCTCCTCCCCCTCTTCCGTGGTCGGCTCACCTCCAGCACCCCACGTGGTGGCCCTAGGTACAACGGATTCCGGCGGGCAGAGCGCCTTAGATCCCGAGTCTGCAGCCCAGGGCAGAGTGCCAACTTCTCCTCATCCCTTCGTACGCCATAGAATGGAAAGACACTGGGGCTCCTCTGTTAGGAGCGTAGGAGGGACAGGCTGGACAAAAGGGCTCCCGAACAGCAGGTTCGGAGGAGAGCAACCCGGCCCTGACCCCCGCCCCCAACACCGTTCCCGACCTCGCTCCCCAATATCCCGGCTCTGCACCAATTCCTCCCGCAAGCCAAGGAACCCCGAGGCACTCCTAGTCTCTAAACCGTTTATTTCTCCCCACCAGAAGGTTGGGGTGGGCGGGCCTAGAACACAGCGTGCGGCGGGTTCCCGGGTGGAGCCAGCGCAGACAGCGTGGGTCCCTGCGGCTCTTAGGCGAAGGTGGAGTTGTTCCAGCCCACATTGGCCGCGTTCATGTCGTAATAGTTGATGTAGACCCTGCGGGGGGAGGAGGCCGGACTCAGCGGGTGGCTCAGTCCCGGGCCTGGCCGCGCGCCGCCGCCCCTCCCCCGCCCCTCCGCGACTCCGCGTACCTGTCCGGGCTGATGCGCAGGCGCTCGGCCAGCAGGCCGCACAGCAGCTTGCTGTAGGAGCGGTTCTGCGCGCCGCCGATCTTGCCGATGCTGTGCAGGCTGCAGAGCGCGCACGGCTCGCTGGAGCCGCCGAAGGCCATGAGCTGGTCCGGGACCACGTGCACCGCGATGTACTGCGAGGAAAGGGCGCGGTCAGCCCGCCCCAGCGACCTCGTCGGGCCCCGAACGTCCACTTCGGGCCCGAGCCACCGTCCTCCCCCCGCCCCGCCCCCCAGCTCCGTTCAGGAGTCGCCTCCCCAGCTCCCAGCGCGGAACCCCTCGTCCGGTGGGCACCCCCCTCTTCCTGTCCCCTCCCGGCAAACCTGGGGGGGCTTGCCGGTGGCCTGCGCCAGCTGCTGGGTGAGCTCGGAGAGGAACCCGTCCGGCACGGAGGCGCGGGGCACGTTGGTGTTTACGATGAACATCGGCATGATGGCAGAAGGACCAGGAGACCCGCGCAGAGGCACAGACGCACGCGCCGCGGCCGCCGCTGAGCTACGTGCCTGACTTCTCGGACACCACTGTGGTCCCGCCTTTTGTGACGCCACCGCCGGCGCCAGGCCCCGCCCCCGCGAGGCTGCGGCTCCGCCCCGAGTGGGGAAGTCACCGCCTGCCTCGGCTCGACCCCCGCAGGGCAGGACCCTGGGCGACTCCGCCCGTTCCTCCAGCAACCGCCGCTAAGCCCGGCGCACCGCTCCAACCTGTTCTCCACTTGGCGGCTAGAAATCGGCCTGTTCCGGCCTCGCCTCGGGTCTTTCTTAGTCCTTTCACTAAGTCACCGATGTTAGTCGCCAGGAGGCGCTGTGCCGGGGGTGGGGATGCGGCGGTGAACCCGGAAGATGGCCCCTTACCCTTCCAGAGATGAAGCCCAGTTCATTCCACTGCACGCACTGAGCCCCTGTACCTCCTGTCTTTGGGCCACATGTCCTCAAGGGCTCCAGTCCCGCATGCGTGAGCTTGTGTGTTTGAGATGGGGCGGGGTAGTCATCGCGGCAGGTGAGAGGGGAGCTGCCCCTGCGAATCACCATCCAGGGAACTTCCCTGAACCCCTGCTCTTTAAAGAGGATAGGATGCTGGGAGGCACCGAAGGGAAGGAGGCGAGGTCCAGAGCAGGTTCAGTGGTTCAAACGTGCTCAGCTCCCCTTCTCTGGGCCTCTGGGCAACTTCAGCTCCTCAGGGAAGCCACACCCTAGTCAGGTCCACCGTGTATGGCCTCTCATAGAGCCCTTGGTGAATTTCTTAAATGTCTTTTCCACTAATGGTAAACTCGGGGACCATCTAGCAGGTGCCAGGCATACAAGAGACATTGACTAATACTGCTGAATGAATGAATGAATGAATGGGTGAAAGAAGATAAGCCATGACATAGCAGGAAGAGGACAAGGCAGCAACTGGATCACAGGCCAGGTCCTCAGAGATTTCCAG
Source organism: Homo sapiens (assembly GCF_000001405.40). Lineage (NCBI taxonomy): Eukaryota > Metazoa > Chordata > Mammalia > Primates > Hominidae > Homo > Homo sapiens. Next base: position 129,842 of record NT_187633.1, on the reverse strand, counting down.
GGAGGTCCTGTCCTTGGTCTCTGATAGGTGCAATCCATATACCAGTCTCAGTGAAGGCCATGTGATATAGGAAGGACACCCATGCCTGTGGGACCCTCGTGGCACCAGCCAGCCTCCAGCTGGGAGGCCCCATGGCCCATTTATACAAATAGCCTATGGGTATTGGTTCCTGCAGCTGGGCCCCAGACTCTTTCCCTCCTGGTGTCACACCTTCTCTTACCTGTGCCCAGGGCTCCCTAACTGATGGCACTCCATACCATGTCTCCAGCCAGGGGCACTCCCCTAAGTCCCAGGCGCTGACAGCAGCTGACTGAGTGTCCACTGCTCTGTAAAGTCCAAATGTATGACTTGTCCTCCTACACCTCATCACCTGCCAGTAAAATATGCTTCCTTTCACTATCCCTTTATTCCCACTTCTCTCCATTCCCTGAACTACCGCCTAGTCTACACTACCTGCATCCCCTTTGGCCTGGACCACTGTGACTTCCCTATGGTGGACTGCTGCTCCTCAAGGGAGGAGTCTGTTTCCAGCCCCAGGCAGCAGAGTTAGCCCCGACTCCCTGTGCCCTATGAAAGCTGAGCAGAATTACATAAGTCACTCCAGGCAGAAGACTGAAGAGCCAGGGCCTGGTTGACCTGTGCCCTGTGAACCTGAATGACAAGGTGCAGCCTCGCCAGCAAGCACATGAGCTGCCCCTGGAGGTGAGCCCCTGCCAATCTCAGGTTGTTACCATAACAAAGGGTTGCCTTACCTGGCCAGTGACGGAGCAGGAGCATTGCCATCTTGAACAAACACCACCATTCTAAGTTCCCCCTTAATTAAAAGCCGCCTAAATCCAGCCCGAAAATATCAGCCTAATAGCTAATGTCAGCATAACCAGAAACATTCCAACCCTAAGATAAACCCTTCTCTGACCAGAAACATGCCAACCCGGAGACAGCCTCCCTTCTGACCAGAGACATTCCATCCCCGCAATAAACTTTCCCTCACACAGAAACATTCAGAACCTATGATAAGAACCCCCTCCAAAACCCTTAAATATCCTTAGTTTGTAAGAGAGTGTGGCTCTGACCTAACTTGGCCAGAAGCCCCTCTCAAGTTTGTTTTCCAAAATAAACCTGTCCTTGTTGACTGTCGAGCCACCCTTGGTGTTTCTTTCCTCTTTAATTCTTATAGCCAGGACAGCCTCTGAGCCACTTGTCATCTCCTTGTACCCTCCCCAGCTGTTTCCAGTGGCAGTCAGCCTCATCCTTCTAGAAGGGTACCCAAAGAAGTGATATGATTTGCCTCTTACTAGCATGGACATTTGGCTCACTTTCCCCATCTGTAATTTGGGGATGACAATAGTGTTCACCTGACATAGAGGTGTTATGAGCACCAAGTGGCCTAAATGCCAATGACAGTCTCCTCTGATACTAGGGGTAGTACTGTCACAAGGCCCTGGGGTAACCCGGTCCCTGTGAGCCTCCGCCAACCCTCCCTGGTTCTCTGAGTTATGGCGCACTGTCCTTCAGTACCATGGCTCCTGGCTCCAGGGTTGGGGGTTGGTTCTGAAATCCAGTTTGCCCACATTTTCCCTCATCTGACTCCAACTCATCCTTCAGTTCTTGGCTCAGCCTTAGTTCCTTGGGAAAGCCCCCGGAGCACCTGGCTTGGTCCATTCCCACACGTGCCCAGTACCTGTCCTGTCCTTCGAGGCTATCTCCATATTTCTGAGTTAAGACTGCATGTCTAGGCGGTAAACTCCATCCCAGTGGGGACAGTCTCTTTTTGGGCATTGCTGTATGCATACCTCCTGACCCCTTACCTCCGTGGTAGGCAGATGACCCCCTGCCCACTAAAGAATAGCAGGGGGAGGACAAGCACTAATCCCTGGAACCTACAAGTATGCCATGTTACCTGGCAAAAAGCACTTCACAGATGCAATTAGGATTATGCATCTGTGCATAATAGGGAGATTAGCATGGAGCATCTGGGTACACCCAATCTAATCACATGAACTCTTAAAAGCAGATAATTTTCTCCAGCTAGAGTGCCAGATTCCAAGCAAGAGAAACACTCGATGTCCATTACCGGCTTTGAAGATGAAGGGGACCAGAGACCTCATGGTACAACCACAAGGAACTGAATTCTGCTCACAACCAGATTGAACTTGGAAGTGGATTTTTCCCTTGTCCCTTCAGATACCTTGACTTTGGCCATGCGAGTCCTTACACAGAAGACCTAGTCATGTCACGCCGGACTACTGACCCACAGAAACTGTGAGATAATAAATGCGTGTTGTTTGAAGCTGCTAAAAATTTGTGTTGATTTATTATAAGAGCAAAAAAAAAATAATACACCTTGGGACCCATAGGGACACAATAATTATCCGCTAACCATGGACAAATGCGCTAGGAGGCATTGGCAGGCATGGCTGCTGACTCCCTCTTCCTCCTCATGGCAGCATCCCAGATCTGTTCGTTAGAAGGTTCACTGCCCCAGAGTTCCTGCCACCCAGGTGTGGCCACCTCATCTCCCACCCCATCCCAGCACATCCAGCTGGAGGCACAACTCACCTCAGCTTCCTCACCCCTAGGCCTCTGAGGAAGCATTTTCATGGTCTGATTCCAAAGACAGCGGTGTGTGTGTGTGTGTGTGTGTCCATGTGTGTGCGCGTGCACGTGTGTCCACATGAGTGCTCACATGCACTATGAGCCTATGAAGCTAGAGTAGCTGAGAAGTCACCATCTAGCCCTGGAGTGTGCACCCAGACAGGAGCCTGGGCTCCCCGGGCAGAGTCATCTCTCTCCAGGTGTTTGATTCTCTCTAATCTTCAATGATTCCCTGCTACCTGCAGAATGAACCAGAGAATGGGGGCAGAACACGACCCCTGAAGAGCGCTGGCTCAAGCTGAGCTCCACTGCTAATCCACAGGGTCACTCTGGACCCCTCGGGTGGCCTAAAGGCCTCCTCAATAAAATGGAGATCAAGGAGATCAGGAAGCACACAGACTCTAGACTACACTTCCCATGAGCACTCTGAATGATCAGCACCAGCGCGCCACGGACCTCAGGTACCAGGCGAGGTCCCAGACGCAGCGTGTGCAGTGATCAAGGTCTGGGGTCCATGGTCACCAGGTCTACTCCTGGCCATTCCAGTTAGCTGTGTGACCCTGGACAAGCCACCGGCTTTTACTCAGTCTCTCATATGTACAACAGGGGTAATAAAAGTACTAATTTCATGGGGTCCTTTCCAGGATTAAAGGAGCTAACACTTGGAAGATACTCAGAATGGTCCTGATACATAGAAAGCCCTCCATAGATGTTATCCCTGAACATTGTTGTCACTGGGAGACTGTTTTGCAAGGTAAGGACCACCGCCATCCTCACAACCCTGGGCACAGCCTGAGGACAAGGACTGAGGCGGAAGCCTCTGGATGTAGTGGACCCTAGGTGGATATGTGTAAACTGAAGGGAAAAATGATTCAGCTGAGGCACAGAGTGATCTGGGTCCCAACAAGAGGGAACCAGAGACTCAGAGGGTCCAAGAAAGGAGAGGATGAGAACAAATACAAGAGAATGGACAACAGCCCTTTGGAGGCTGTGCAAGCCCAGATCCTTGTGAGCGCCGCCTGGATCCCGGCAGCCAGGCAGCCAACTTGAGCCTGCCAGATGGGCGGGGCCCTGTCCCCTGGCCCTGGGAAGCTGGGACATGTAGGTCCTGGTAATTAGCAAATGAGGGAGGGATTCGGGCTAGGAGAGGGGCTTGACCACATGCTCTGGGAGGTGGGGAGAGGCCACACTGGGTCTGGGGTCTGGGGAGGTGGGCTGGAGCTGGGGAGCATGGCTGTGACTCCTCTCCAGCTACATGGGCTAGACATCAATGCTCACACCTGGAACGCAGTCTCAGCAGAGGCAGGTCAGCTCCCACCCTGGACCACCCCCTAGAAACCCAGTCTGGCTCTCTCACCCCTCTCTGCACTGCCCTTCCTTGTCTTCAAGGTCCTGTCCTGAGACCCTGTCTCCTCTCCCTAACTGAGGGGCTCCCTGCGTAACAAGGGACTTGCAACCCCCACCCCGCCCTCCCAGAGTGGCCAGAGCCAATTCCGGCTGGGTGGGTGGTGAGTGAGAGGGCAGGGCTCAGGCTGGGGACCGGGGCACCATGTGTGTCCGAGGCAGGCCGGGACCTGGGTGTCACCTGATGCCTGCTCTGCTCGTGGCACGTACCCCAGGATCTCAGGGGTGCTTGTCAATGGATTCTTACTCATGACTCCACGTTGGAGGTCTGCAGCCAGGGCGGCCAGGGAAGCCATTTGGAGCACAAAGGTAAGCTGGGGAGCAGGTCAACAGAGGCAGGATCAGGGTGGATGGACACAGAGGGGCAGAGTGACCACACACAGGGCTCCTGGGAGGGCTGCCCCTGCCTCCTGAAGACTCCACAGTGACTGGACACGGTAGCTTCATTCCCATCCTGCAACGCTGCTGCCTCCCAGTGGCTCCAGCTTTTTTTTTTTTTTTTTTCTTTTTTTGGTAGAAACAAGGCCTCGCTCTGTGGCCCAGGCTGGAGTGCACTGGTGCAATCATAGCTCACTGTAATCTCCAACTCTTGGGCTCCAGAGATCCTCCCACCTCAGCCTCCCAAGTAGCTGGGACTACAGGCACATGCCACCAAGGCTCTAGCTTTTAAAAGGCCCCCAGCTGAGCCTATCCTTAGGAAGCCAGCTCAGAGTCACCTTCTCCCTGAGACCTCTACTGACACCCTGACCCAGAGATTTCTCTCTCCCCAGAGAACCCACAGCCCCACCACTTCTCTTTAACAGTCACTGTTTCCTGACAAAAGCCAAATTCTTTCTTATACAACAATAGTCCACTGATTTTCTTTATTTAGGCACCAAAGTAAAATAATGAAGAAAAAATGGCTTTTTTTAAAGCAAATGGTACTGGTACGACCAGATAGCCATTTCAAAAAAAAAGAAAGAAAAGAAAAAAGGGCCAGTCATGGTGACTCATTCCTGTAATCCCAGCACTTTGGCAAACGAACGGCTTGAGTCCATGAGTTCAGGAACAGTCTGAACAACATGGCAAAAGCCTGTCTCTACAAAAAAACAAAGAAAAACAATAAAACAAAACAAAACAAAAATTAGCCAGGCTAGCCGGGCGCGGTGGCGGGCGCCTGCAGTCCCAGCTACTCGGGAGGCTGAGGCAAGAGAATGGCGTGAACCCGGGAGGCAGAGGTTGCAGTGAGCCGAGATAGTGCCACTGCAGTCCTGCCTGGGCGAAAGAGCAAGACTCCATCTCAAAAAAAAAAAAAAAAAAATTAGCCAGGCATGGTGGCACGCATCTGTAGTCCCAGCTACTTAGGAGGCTGAGGTGGGAGGATTGCTTGAGTCTGGAAGGTAGAGGTTGCAGTGAGCTGAGATCACGTCACTTGCACTCCAGTCTAGGCAACACACAGTGAGACCCTGTTCCCCCCACCCACCCAAAAAAAAGGAACCTCAGCCCCTCACACCATACCCAAAAATTAACTTGAAATTCATCATCAGCAACATAAGTGTAAAAGCTAAAACTATCCAACATTTGGAAGAAAATCTTTGCAACATTGGGATAGGCAAAGATATCTTATGGCACAAAAAGCATGAATCACAAAAACCAAAAACTGATAAATCAAACTTTACCAAAATAAAAATTTCTGTTCGGCCGGGCCAGGTGGCTCACGCCTGTAATCCCAGCACTTTGGGAGGCCGAGGCGAGCAGGTCACGAGGTCAGGAGATCAAGACCATCCTGGCCAACATGGTGAAACCCCGTCTCTACTAAAAATACAAAAAAATGAGCAGAGCATGGCAGCACGTGCCTGTAGTCCCAGCTACTCAGGAGGTTGAGGCAGGAGAATTGCTTAAACCCAGGAGGCAGGGCTGCAGTGAGCCGAGATCGCGCCACTGCACTCCAGCCTGGGTGACAGAGCGAGATTCCATCTCCAAAAAAAAAAAAAAAAAAAAAATTCTGCTCTTAGGTAGCATTAAGAAAATAAAAAAGGCAAGCTACGGACTGCAGGAAAATATTTACAATACTATATATTTAACAAAGTACTAGCTTCCAGAATGTATAAAAAATGCCCACATTTAAAAAATAATGACAACCAACCTGATAAAAATAGCAGATAAGGGCTGGGTGCGGTGGCTCATGCCTGTAATCCCAGCACTTTGGGAAGCCAAGGTGGGTGGATCACTTGATGTCAGGAGTTTGAAACTTGCCTGGCCAACATGGCAAAATCCCATCTCTACCAAAAATACAAAAATTAGCAGGGCATGGTGGCTCACGCCTGTGGTCCCACCTACTTGGGGGGCTGAGGTGGGAGGATCGCTTGAGTCCAGGAGGCAGAGGTTGCAATGAGCTGAGTTCATTCCACTGCCCTCCAGCCTGGGCGACAGAGAACCCTGTCTCAACAACAACAACAAAAAAAAGTAGACAAAATATTTGAACAAATTATTCATAAAAGAAAACCCACAAATGGCCATACTGAGCACATGAAAAGATGTCAAACATTATTAGTCATTAGGGAAATACCACAATTAAATGACAAGATACCACTACACACTCACTAGAATGGCTAAATTGAAGAGACTGACAATACCAAGTGCTGATGAGGATCTGGAGTATCCAGAACTCATACATTATTAATGAGAATGTGAAACAATATAATCAACCACTTTGGAAAACAATTTTTATACAGTTAAATATACATTTATTATTAAGCCCAGCAATTCATTTACCCAAAAAGCTAGACTGACTGTTTATGTCCTCCCCAGGTTCATACCTTGAAACCTAATCCCTCATATGATGGTACTTGGAGGTAGGGCCTTTGGGCCTCCTCGGAGGTGATTAGGTCATGAGGGCAGAGCCTGCATGAATGGGATTGGTGCCCTTATAAAAGAGACCCCAGAGAGCTCCCTTGCCCCTTCTGCCATGTCTAGGAGAACACAGCAAGAAGACCGCCATCTATGAATCAAGACATGGGCCCTCAACAGACACTGAATCCACTGGCACCTTGATCTTGGACTTCCCAGCCTCCAGAACCATGAAAAATAAATTTCTGTTGTTTATAAGCCACCCAGGCTGTGGTTCTTAGTTATAGCAGCCCGACGGACTAAGACACAAAAGAAATAAAAACATATGTTTAGACAATTATTATTGTAGGAACATTCACAGCAGTTTTATTCATGATGGCCAAGAATTAGAAACAGCCAAAATGTTCACCAACAGGTAGATGGATAAATAAATCATGGTCTAACCACAGAGGGGAATACTACTCAGCAATACAAAGGAGTCTCTCCTAATACGTGCAACAACATTCATGAATCCCAAAAACTTTATCTGGAGCCAAGCCAGACACAAATGTGTACATACAGTACGGAATGACTTCAGATTCTGAAAAAAGGCAAATCTGACCAATTGAGGCAGAAAGCAGGTCAGTGGTTCCCCAGGTCTGGGACTGGGGTGGGTTACTGATAGCAAATGGGCATGTGGGTGCCTTGGGGTAGGGTAAAGGTTCCATCTTGATCACGGTGGTGTTTCCCAAGTGTATACACTCACCAAAACTATACTTAGAACTCAAAACTCGCCAAATATATACTTAAAATGGATGCAGTTGGTTATGTATAAATTATACCTCAATAAAGTTGATTAAAAACATCAATTCCTCAGAAAATTCTTTTCTGACCACTCCCCTCTCAGACGAGGTCGGGCCTCCTGGTATGCATACCCATACCCACTACAACCTGTATTTATTTTTTTTGAAACATGGTCTCTTTCTGTTGTCCAGGCTGGAGTGCAGTGGCTCAATTAGGACTCACTGCAGCCTCGACCTCCCAGGCTCAAGTGATCCTCCCATTTCAGCCTCCTGAGTAGCTGGGACCACAGGCATGTACCACCACACCCAGCTAATTTTTTTTTTTTTTTTTTTTGGTAGAAACAGGATCTTACTATGTGGCCCAGGCTGGTCTCAAACTTCTGGTCTCAAAGCAATCTTCCCATCTTGGCCTCCCAAAGTGCTGGGATTACAGGCATCAGCCACCTCACCTGGCCAACCTGTATTTTTCTTTCACTGCATTTCCTGAGTCTGTAATTATTATTATTATGTTTTAAAGAGATGAAGTCTCCCTCTGTCACCCAGTCTGGCATGCAGTGGTGTGATTGTAGCTTACTGCTACCTTGAACTCTTGGACTCAAGTGATCCTGCTGCCTCAGCCTCCTGAGTAGCTAGAGCTGTTAGCACATACCACCATGCCCAGCTAATGTTTAAAATTTTTTGTAGAGATAGGGGGTCTCACTATGTTACCTAGGCTGGTTTCAAACTCTGGCCTCAATTGATCCTCCCACCTTGGCCTCCCAAAGTGCTGGGATTACAGTCATGAGCTGCCACAACCAGCCTGTAATTATGTTGTTACTGATTTTCTGTCAGTTAATTACCTTTAGCCTGGAATACCACGCTCACCATTGATTGCTAAGCACCTGGAGCCATGTCTGCACACAAAGGGTGCTCAATAAACACTCCTTAAATGAGGAATGCAGGAGGGAGTGAGGACCAGGGCCCTGGCAGGAAGCAGAGGACAGGACAGTAGCTGGCTTTGGCTCTGGCCACCCCTTTGGGACTAGAGTTCTGTTGACTGGATAACCTCCAGGCTCCTCCACGTGGGGCCCTGGGCCCGCCTGGGGAAGTTGAGTCTGTGTAATTCCTTGGAGATCTCTTGGAAGGTCTTGCCTTTGGTCTCAGGAAGGAACAGGCCAGTGTAGATGGCCCCACAGACACAGACACCAAGGAAAGGGACATAGAGGAAGTGGGACAAGGCCTCCTGCGGATTAAAAAAGACCCCAAGACCTGGTGTGTCTCCATCAACCCCTAAACAGAAGGCCCATGACAGGTCGTGAGGAGGCATTTGCCCCCCTCTTTGCTCCCCTAAGACCCCTCCCTTTCAGTCTCAGTCTCCCTGGATGGAAGCCTCCCCCTGGGGTTCTCAGGATGACAGGGACACAGCCTAAGGCAGGGCCCCCAGCGGGAGGGGCGGGCCTACCATGATAAAGGGAAATCCCAGGCCGACCAGGATGAGCATGATCCACATGAGCGCCCCGCAGACCATGCAGGCAGCAGGCCTGGCCATCTGGTCAAACAGCTCTGTGGCCAGGATCCCCGTCACTCCGGCTAGAAGGAGGGGCAGGGACAGGGGGCTGCTGGCCAGGGTTCCCTGCCTGCCTCTCCCCGACCCCAGCCCAGACATGGGAGTGGGAGCCCAGGCCCAGTCTGTATGGGGGGCCCCTCAGTGCTCTCCTCCTGCCATTCCCTCCCAGAAGCCCCGGCATGAGGTGGTCTCTGAGGGCCTGCAGGGGACATTGCATTCACACCCACCCACTGTGCACCCAGGCACCCATCACTCCTTCTATGTGATGATGGATGCCCAGAGCCCCTTGGGCCCACTCACCAGGGCCAATGCCAAAGCTGAGGATGAAGGCAAAGATGCAGGCCATGGCCAGGTAGAGTGTCCAGGGGAAGGAGCTCTGCCGTGGACGGGGCGGGGGTGAGGTGGAAGTCAGCCCGGCCTGGACCCCCCAGCCCTCATCCACCCCAGCTACCTGCAGGCACAGGGCCACAGTGAAGATGCTCCCCCAGCAGGTCATCAGGCTGTACCCACCGATGAGCAGCACGCGCCGACCCACCCTCTCGATTACCACACACTGCAAAGGCAGAAAGCACAGACCCACACACCCAGCCATGGTCCCTGAGGTCTGGGGCAGGCAATGGGAAGGGGTCTCCTGAGAAAGCTGGTGGTGGAGGTGAGGGTAGTTTATTGCTTCAGTGTGACTTTATTAATTTCCCAAAGGAACTTGGTCAATCAATCACCCAACTTCAGCCAGTTTCCGCATCTCAAAATGGTGCTGGAAGTGACCCGCAAACCGTAGATGCTCAATAGATGCTCTCTAACTCACTGCATTGATTGATTGATTGAGACAGGGTCTTACTGGTCTCACTGAGCTGAGACAGGGTCTCACTGGTCCAGCCCACGCTGGAGTGCAGTGGCACAATCTCGGTTTACTGCAGTCTCAACCTCCTAGGCTCAAGTGATCCTCCCACCTCAGCCTCGCCAGTAGCTAGCACTACAGGCGAAGACCACCACGCCTGGCTAATTTTTGTATTTTTTGTAGAGACGGGGTTTCACCATGTTGCCCAGGCTGGTCTCCAACTCCTGATCCCACCTCAGCACTATTGCCTGGGCTGGAGTGCAATGGCACCATCTCGGCTCACTGCAACCTCCACCTACTGGGTTCATGCGATTCTCCTGCCTCAGCCTCCCAAGTACCTGGGATTACAGGCGCCCGCCACCACGCCGGGATAATTTTTTGTATTTTTTAGTAGAGACGGGGGTTTCACTGTGTTGGCCAGGCTGGTCTCGAACTCCTGACCTTGTGATCCACCCACCTCGGCCTCCCAAAGTGCTGGGCTTACAGGCATGAGCCACCGCACCTGGCCCCTCACTGCATTTTAACACCATAAGCTGGAGTGTAAACTGGTTTAATGCAGAGGACCTGGGGGTCCCTCCCCACAGGGCTGGTGGAGGAAGGGCACCCTCCAGACTCACACTAACAACCGCCGTGAGCAGCTCGCAGCTCCCAGTCCCGATGATCGCGTACTGGATCTTCGCTTCCGGCACTCCTGCCTTCCGGAACACGGAGGAGGCGTAGGCGTACACCTGGGAGAGGGTGGCTTTCAGGCCTGGGCTCCCTTCCACCTCCCATGGCTCCCAGCGGCCTGCAACACCAAGCCCCCGGGGCCCAGGGTGTGCGGCGGGGCAGGGGTCTCACCGAGTCATTCCCGCAGAGCTCCATGGCACTGCCCAGAACCACGAGGCTTGTCACCTGTCTCCTCAGGGCCCGATGCTGGAACAGCTCCCATGGGCGCCGGGCACGGCAGCCCTGGCAGGCAGCGCGCTCCTCCTCCAGCTCCTCCAGCTCCCCTGCCAAGTCCCCGGAGCCCCGGAGCCGCCGTAGTGCTGAGCCAGGGAGGAGGGTACTGAGCTCCCCGTCCCCAAGCCCCTCTTTGGTCCCCCTACAGGGACGCCCCCCTCCATCCCACCATTCCTTTCCTTCTTGGCTCACTCTCTGTCTCTGAGTCTGTCTGTGTGTGTGTGTGTCTCTCTCTCTGCCTCTGTCTCTCTCAATCTCTCTGTCTCTGTGTGTGTCTCTGTGTGTGTGTGTGTTTCTCTCTCTGCCTCTCAATCTCTCTGTCTCTGTGTCTGTGTGTGTGTGTGTGTTTCTCTCTCTCTCTGCCTCTGTCTCTCTCAATCTCTCTGTCTCTGTGTCTGTGTGTGTGTGTTTCTCTCTCTCTCTGCCTGTCTTTCTCAATCTCTCTGTCTCTGTGTGTGTCTCTGTGTGTGTGTGTGTTTCTCTCTCTGCCTCTCAATCTCTCTGTCTCTGTGTCTGTGTGTGTGTTTCTCTCTCTCTCTGCCTCTGTCTCTCTCAATCTCTCTGTCTCTGTGTGTGTGTGTGTGTGTGTGTTTCTCTCTCTCTCTGCCTCTGTCTCTCTCAATCTCTCTGTCTCTGTGTCTGTGTGTGTGTGTGTTTCTCTCTCTCTGCCTCTGTCTCTCTCAATCTCTCTGTCTCTGTGTCTGTGTGTGTGTGTGTTTCTCTCTCTCTCTGCCTCTGTCTCTCTCAATCTCTCTGTCTCTGTGTCTGTCTGTGTGTGTGTGTGTTTCTCTCTCTCTGCCTCTGTCTCTCTCAATCTCTCTGTCTCTGTTTGCCTCCCTGGTCAGATGGAGATGATCTTCCTTGCCCTGACATTTCTCAGGGCTGTTGCGGTGTTGCCACCATGGATGAAAAAAGGCTTTAGAAAGAAACGCAGGGTTCTGCGGACATATCAGACAGGACATGACTATTGCAGCACATTATCAAACCCAATTCTTCACCCCTCCCTGCACCCACACTGCTTGCTGTGTGATTTTGCAGTTCCTCCCACTAAAGGGGCAAGTACTGCCTACATCCCTGCTCCTGGCTCTGGGCTCGGCCAATAGGATGAGGCTGCAGTGAGGGCGTACCATGTTCCAGCCTAAGCCTTAAGAGGCCTTGCTCACTTCTACTTGCTCTTCTGCCTTCATGAGAACATTCCAGGCTAGCCAGGAGGATGACAAGACATGGACAGCCAAAGGGGCCCAGCTAAGCCACCCTCACTGGGACTATTCTAGATCAGCCAGCCAATGCCCAGCTGAGCTGCAGTTGCAGGAATGACCAAGATCAGCAGAGCCATCAGCCAGAACCATCCTAGATCAGCCCAGCCCAGAGGACTTAGAGGCTTAGGCTAAATAATTGCTTTTTTTGTTTCTTTACCACCGAGATGTTATGATCATCTATTAGTCAGCAATAGAAAGCTGATCAATAAATTGGCACCAGGAGTTGGTGCTACCGTAACAAAGACCTGTGAAATATGGTATCAGTTCCAAGACGAGGCAGAGGACGGCGATGAGGCTGGAGAAATGAAAAGCTATGTTATATAGTGCAGTAACACGGAAGAAAGAAAATGGGCTCAGTGAACTTATGGACTTGAGCAAAGAAAACTCCAAATGTTGAAAGCATGAACTGGTTGCTGTTAGATGCATATTCTAAGCTTGCTGTAAGACATGAAGAATTAGCTCAGAAAATAACTGGCCAGTTTGCAAGCAGAATTCAGAGGCAACAAAATTTAATTAAACGTAGCATATTTCAGAAACACTGGGTTAGTTGAAAACAACAACAAAAAATGTTTTCTCGCCTCTATCCTCTCCAGCTAGCAAAAGAATCCCAAATTAAGTAACAGCCTGTGAGCAAAGATCAAATCCAGAGCACTGCCAGGAAGCCATGGACTCATAGTAAAGATCAAATCAAGGGTATAGCTTAAAGCAGTGCCTCACAGACCCTCACAACTAGAAAAGGGGGCATTTAGGAGGCTTGAGGGCGTTGATTCACGGTAGCCTGACATACCCTAAATACCAGCAATTAGGCCTTGGGAGAGAAGCCTGTCTCAAAAATAATTGTGAGCGTGGTTTGTTGACACATGAAAAAACCTCGAATACATAGAAAATTCACATCATTTTTGAGAAAGTTGTATTGGCAAAAGCTCTGCCAGTTTGGACAAAAAAAAGACCAGGACAATTTGAAATATAAAGACTTCTGTGCCCCAACTTTGTTTTCTTTTCTTTTCTTTTTTTTTTTTTTTTTTTTGAGATGGAGTCTCACTCTGTCACCAGGCTGGAGTGCAGTGTGCACTGGCACAATCTTGGCTCACTGCAACCTCCGCCTCTCGGGTTCAAGCAATTCTCCTGCCACTGCAACCTCCGCCTCTCGGGTTCAAGCAATTCTCCTGCCTCAGCCTCCCTAGTAGCTGGGACTACAGGTACGTGCCACCATACCCAGCTAATTTTTGTATTGTTAGTAGAGATGGGGTTTCACCATGTTGGCCAGGCTGGTCTTGATGTCTTGACCTCGTGATCTGCCCGCCTCAGCCTCCCTGGGATTACAGGCGTGAGCTGGCGCCCAGCCTGCCCCAACTCTCTATAGGCAGGAAGGAGGCTGAGAAATTTGCTCAACCATCAAAAGCAGCACATTGTGCAACGCCCTCTTCAGAAGGAATCAAGGAAGGTGAAAGAAAAGGAAAAACATCTCAGAGGGTAGACCCAAGAAGCATGGAGAGCCACGCATAGTGGTGTGTGCCTAGAGTCCCAGCTACTCAGGAGGCTGAGACAGGAGGATCGCCTGGGCCCAGGAGCTCTGGGTTGTAGTACGCTAGGCAGATCAGGTGTCTGCACTAAGTTCAGCATCAATATAGTGACATCCCAGGAGCAGGGACCACCAGGCTGCCTAAGGAGGAATGCACTGGCCCAGGTTGGAAATGGGACAGTTCAAAACTCCCATGCTAGCCAGATACAATGGCTCATGCCTATAATCCACGCACTTTGGGAGGCCAAGGGGGGAGGATCATTTGATCTCAGGAGTTTGAGACCTGCCCAGGCAAAGAGGTGAAACTCCATCTTTACAAAAAATACAATAATAAAAAAAAATTAGCCAAGCGTGGTGGCACGGGCCAGTAGTCCCAGCTACTCAGGAGGCTGAGGTGGGAGAATTGATTGGGCCTGGGAGGTGGAGGTTGCAGTGAGCTGAGATCACACCACTCCAGCCTGGGCGACAGAGTGAGACCCTGTCCCAAACAAAACCAAAAAAACAAGAACAAAAAAGAAGAAAACTTCCGTGCTGATCAACAATGGCGTCATGCCTATGAACAGCCACAGCACTCCAGCCTGGACAAGCGAGAACCTGTCTCTAAAAGATAAAAAAAATAAAAAAAATAAAAGAACCATGGCCTGGGGTGCCCTTCATAGGGGGTAGGGGACAGAGCTGGAACTTGAACAAAGAATACTCCCTACCCCCAAGGCAGGGGACATGGCCATATTTTCCTAGGGGCGCTTCAGAATTGTTATAGATTAGTGACTGCACTGTGCCTGCCTTGCTTCCTCGTTTTTGAAATGAGAGCATTAATTTTGGTTACCTCATCTTACTTTTTACCATTGCATGCTGAGTGTGGGAAGGGAAGAAGACTCATCTTTCTAGATCCTAGGTTTCTGGATCAAGAAAAGGCCCATATAGACTTAATGTGGCGTAAGATCTGGGACTTCAAGCCCGATGCCATGATTGGATGAGACTTTGGGGGATCCTGGGATGGGACTGAACACATTTTGCACAGAGGAGAGACATAAGTAATAATTGCGGCCATGGTGACAGAGAAGAGTACACTAATGGGCCCCGGTCTTCACCCCTCCTTAAATCCACAGCCCTTGCGATGGGAGAGGATATGCCATCAATTTTCCCATCCCTTGACTTGGGATTTGGCAGTATGACTGACTCGCTTTGGCCAATGGAATGTTAATGGCACGAGGGAACCAAAGGTTTGGAAAGCGCTTATGCAACTGGATTTGCTTTCTTGTTTCTCTGCCATCACCATGCTATTCCTAGGCTAACTCGTTGGTACCAAAAGTGAGAGGACAGAAAGTGCAGCAAAGCTGAATGGCTCCAGTCCAGACCAGCCTAGACCGGCCAACCAGCAGCTGAACCTCACCACTGCCCCCCTCCCCCGCCCCACACTGTGAACTAGCCCAGCTGAGATCAGCAGAGCTGTGCAGCCAGCCAGGCAAGTACATGAATAAAAGAAGCAGTAAATAATTGTTGCTTTAAAGCAGAAATGTTGCGATTGTTCCTTAGGCATTCTTACTGTAGCCAAAGTTAACTGATATAAGATGACCATCACCCAGTTGGCACTGGGTAGGTGAGGTCTTGCACAGGTGTTTCACCGTGTGTGTGCGCGTGTGTTTCTCCGCACCGCTCTGGAGTTCTTGAGTAACAGTGGCTAGGTCTGATCCATTCTGCTGCCTGGCAGTTAGGACAACCACTTGATAGAGTTCTGATTGAAGGCAGGTATAGGCAGATCATGAAATTGAGGCACAAAGAGAGGGATAGCTTTTCCTTGATAAATGAAACCTATGAAATGGGGACCCGTATACTCTGGGGAGATGCATCCCTTGGTCAAGGGCAGTCTGGGAGCCCAAGGACAGAGACTCACCTGCCAGGCAGGCCTCGGTGTCTCCACAGTCAATGAGGAGGTAGCGCGGGCTTTCAGGGAGCAGAGGCAGGGAGGCGAGCTGGAGCGCCCCGGGCACCAGGCAGCTGGCCAGCAGCAGGGGCCAGGCCTGAGGGCCACCTAGGAGCTCCCTAAGGAGGCAGAGGAGAGGCCAGGCCAGATGCCTCTTTGCCAGAGTCCTACCACCCTGCTCTCCTGCCCACCTACACACCTCCCTGCAGGGAGTCTGCAATTGCCCCGTGCCTCTTCCTATCCAAGTCTGGGTCTGAACATCAAGATCCCTCCCACCCAGGTTGGGACCAAGAGAGGACAGGGCCACTGCCCCACCTCATCCCTAGCAACTCCTCTTCCCAAGGGTCCAGGCTCTGCCTTCTCCTCTTTTTTCTGGAATGACTGGAACACGTTTGTCTTTGAAAGCCCAAATCTTCACCCTCTCCTCTGTGAAGACCTGTTCTTTGCTCCCTGACCTGGAGAGGATGGGAAAAGGTGATTCACATTGCAGTGTGTTGACTGATACCCATTTCGTGAATTGGCAGCAGAGATGTGGATAGAGGATTCGATGCCTTCATGCAAAGCAATAATGCTTTAATCTACTAGTGGGTAGGGGAGACATTTAGGTGAAGAAACGCTTTTACTGGTATCTCCGAAATACTCAATGCATGTGGGGGAGGGGTGCTTACCTGAGTCCGACCACCTGTCCCATCACGATCCCCAGAGCCGTAAAGATGGCTGAGCTCATGGCCACAGCTCCTCGGAGCTCCTTAGGGGCGCTCTCCCCCAGGTACATGGGCTGGATGTTCATGCTCACACCTGGACGTGTGCACAGCAGAGGCACGTCAGCCACCAGCTGGGACCCCCACTCCACGACACCCAGCCTGTCTCCCCTGCCCCACTCAGCACTGTCCAGCCACTCAACTGGATCCTGGCACTGAGGGCTGATCCCTCACCCCCCACACTCAGGGGTTCTGCTTCACCTGATGAAGGGCCAACAGGATCCCAACTCTACTCTTCAGAACTTCTGAGGGAGGGCTTTCTCAGATCCGCTCCCATCCTGGTCCCTGGCCACAGTACCACATGTTCATGGGCTCTTCCTAGGTCCCATCACTGGGACCCGAGTGTGAAGGACTCTGACGGGGCTGTGCGGGGGGGTGGGAGGAGGAAGGTAGGACCACATCCTGGATGCCTACCAGCTGTCCCAGCACTCATGTCAATTCCTTCATTGATCACTACAGCTGCTCTCACCTCACCCTGGCTCCCCCAGGGAAGACCCTGGCACCTACACTGCCCTCAGGAAAACAGAGAGCTGGAGAGCACCCCAGCGCCCTCCCAGAGGGTGACAAATGGCAAAAGCTAAGAGGCCACTGTGTTGTGGTGTCACGCCCCTGGGAATGCAGTATGCCCTCCCTGACCTAGGGGTTCTCCCATCAAGGTCCTGCCCCTCTATCTACGAGTTGGGCAAAGATAACTGGAAGGAAGGCAGCTATGCTGATTGCCAAGGAGTCTCGGAGGTGCCCCTGCTCTTCCTACAAACATTTAGCTGGGGATTCCTTCTCTGATGGGTACTTGGGACATGAAGACAAAGTCTGACCTGGTTCCTTTCCCCTGGATCGTGGGCTACTCTTAGTAACTCACTTCTAATGAGCAGAATAATGGTGTATGACCTCTGGAATTAGGACATAAAAAGCACCTGGACTTCTCCTTGTGCATGCCCTCTCTCTGTCTCCCTGTCTCCCTCTCTCTCCCTCCCCTCCTCACCCCCTCAGATCACTCTGGAAGAAGCCAGCTGCCATGTTGTGAAGATCCTCAAGCAGCTCTGTGGAGAGCCCCCCAAAGTGGGCAGCTGAGACCTCCTGCCAATGGCACGTGAGGGAGCATCTTGGAAGTGGATCCTCCAGCCCCAGCCAACCCTTCTGATGTCTGCAGCCCTGACAGCTTGAGCACAGCCCCGTCAGAGACCCCAAGCCAGAGCCACCTACCTAAGACATTCCTGGGTTCCTGGCCCACAGAAACTGTGAGATTATAAATGTTGATTATTTTAAGTCACTTAATTTTGGGGTTATTTGTTTCACACAAATAGATAACTAATATAGATAGCATCATATAGATAACATCACCACTGGGCTGTATAAACAGTAGGGCGTCAAGAGATGACTTGTTGGTTGGAGCCCCTAAAAACCCAGGTGGATGTGCTCAAAATTCTGCTCTCTCACATGAAAAGCCCCAGAAATCGAGGAGTACCTAACAGGCCATTCTGCTTCTGAGAGAAGATCAGAAAACTCATCCTATATCCCTTTACACGTTGGCTACCAGGAAGCTCATGGCTTAGAGTGTTACTCAAACATGGGACCTGTATTAGTGTTAAGTTTGGAGATGCTTATTCCCCCACCCCTACACAACTTTTCCATTGTTCTGTACCTACTTTAAATATCTAGTTATATGAGCCCTTTAAGATAAACTATACTACATCCTTTTGTGACAAAGGTAGGCATAAATAAAAAATAAATGAATGAATAAAGGGAGGAAATGAAGGAAGAAATGAAATAAAAGGAATTAATGAATTTATTAATTAATAGGCATAGAGAGGCAGGATGAGAAGCCCCCACCCCATACCTGCATTGACTCCCACGAGCAGTCTTCCCAGCATGATCATCTCAAAGGAGCCTGCTTTGCGGCTGAATCCAAACAGGATTGCTGCTGACACCACAAAGATGTTATTCACCAGGAGGGACTTCTTCCTTGGGGGAAGTGAAACACACAGAAAGAGAGGCTGTGATTCAGTCCAGCGGGACCATCCCTGGGGACCACTCTTTGCAACTGTAACAAGCCTTAATTAGACACACACACAAATGTATGTAGTATGCCATTAACTACTTTGAGTCCTGGTATCCTTGCTGTCAAATGAGATGAGAGCTCCTACACTTACACGTCTGTTGTAACACATAATTTTTAAAATATCTGTAAAAATTGGGCTGGGCATGGTGGCTCATGCCTTTAATCCCAACACTTTGGGAGGTTGAAGCGGGCAGATCACCTGATCCCAGGAGACCAGGCAGGTCAACATGATGAAACCCTATCTCTACAAAAAATACAAAAAAAATTAGGCTGGGCGCGGTGGCTCACGCCTGTAATCCCAGCACTTTGGGATGCTGAGGTGGGTGGATCACCTAAGGTCAGGAGTTTGAGACCAGCTTGACCAACATGGAGAAACCCTGTCTCTACTAAAAAAAATACAAAATTAGCCAGGCATGGTGGCACATGCCTGTAATCCCAGCTACTCGAGACTGAGGCAGGAGAGTCGCTTGAACCCGAGAGGTAGAGGTTGTGGTGAGCCAAGATTGCGCCATTGCACTCCAGCCTGGGCAACAAGAGCAAAATTCCATCTCAAAAAAAAAAAAAAATTAGCCATGCATGATGGCGCACGCCTGTAATTTCAGCTACTCAGGAGGCTGAGGTGGGAGGATTGCTAGAGCCCAAGAGTACGAGGCTGCAGTGAGCCATGATCACGCCACTGCACTCCAGCCTCGGTGACAGAGTGAGACCCTGTCTCAACAGCAACAATGAAGGTACTAATATGTAATTTCTCAGATTCAATAAAACTCCAGGGAGGAAGAACAGGGACTTTAAGAGTGAAGGAAGAGACGTATAGATAGTCAAGTAGAGTTTCCTTATATTTTCCTCCATGTATTACAGAGTCACTTCTCACAACTCAGAATGGCTGTATATCTCAATGCCTTGGTCAATGGGACAGACACCAACCCAAGGAGGGGACATTGGAAATGTCACCTGCTCCATCATGATGAAGCATTAGCTTTGGCTCCTCATATTGAGCTCAGAAGTGCTGCCATACAGATCACCCAGGAGAGCTCACTGTGATCATATAGCTCACTGTACTGAGAGGGAAACTGAAGACCAGAAGTGGCCAGTGTTCTGCTCAAAGTCACCAGCACATTGGTGATAAAATATGAGCCAAAGCTTAGGTCTCTTGTGTCTAGAGAATGAAAAATGACAGTAGATTATAACAAACTCGATCCAGTGGTAACTCCAATTGTAACTAATAATTATAATTACAATAATATACATTTTCCTCACTGGAATTAATAAATCCATTAATAATAATTAAGTACTTCAATCTAGTGAGTGCATTTTGCTCCATTTCAATACACAGACATTGCCAAAAACACTTAGCATTCACCTTGCTGGAACAGTCATATACCTCCTCCGATCTGCCTTAAGTATATAGCAGCAGCTGGGTGCAGCAGCTCACGCCTATAATCCCAGCATTTTTGGAGGCTGAGGTGGGGGGATCACGAGGTCAGAAGTTCGAGACCAGCCTGGCCAACATGGTGAAACCCCATCTCTACTAAAAATACAAAAATTAGCCAGGCATGGTGGCAGGCACCTGTAATCCCAGGTAGTGGGGAGGCTGAGGCAGGAGAATCGCTTGAACCCGTCTAATAAATAAATAATAAATAAATTCAAGGTCTTGCACTGTGCTCCCCCCACCATGCTACACACACGCGTGCACACACACACACACACACACACACACGTGTCTGTAATCAGTAGCTTGAGGGGGCCGAGGCGGGTGGATCACCTGAGGTCAGGGGTTCGGGACCAGCCTGACCAACATAGTGAAACCCCGTCTCTACTAAAAATACAAAATTTAGCAGGGCGTGGTGGCACGTGCCTGTAATCCCAGCTACTCAGGAGGCTGAGGCAGGAGAATCTCTTGAACCCGGGAGGCGGAGGTTGCAGTGAGCCGAGATCATGCCATTGCACTCTAGCCTGGGTGATAGAGCGAGACTCCGTCGCAAAAAAAATAAAAAGGATATAGCAGCTGCCCAGCTGCAGGCCACAGTCCATTCCACAGGGAGCTGTGCATCCCACAGGACATGCTGCTGTCCCACTATTTTGATGAGTTCACACAGAAAGGACCTGGAGAAGAGGAAGCAGCAAGTGCACTAGAAGTCTTGGTAAGGCACAGTGTGACAAAGAGTAGAAGATTAATAACGAGATAGGGGGCTGCCACTCCAACGAAGTTCCTGAGGTCTAGAGGACTAAGAGGTGGCAGCGTATTTTCTCCAAAGTGCATGACAAATTGCTGCACCTTGGTCCCCTTCCTCTAAGAAGGAGGGACAAACCTCTGAGAGCTTCTTTCCATTTTGGAGGCAGCAGAATACCACATCAGGTGTCGTGACCTGGCACATTTATCAGGTGACTTGAAAACCTGGTAGCTTTGAGTGGTGCTAAGCAAGAGAAGTATATTCTCTAGTGGGTCGAAGCCAAATTCACATCGCAGAGTACTAGCAACTATACATGATCGTGGCCCCAAGCCAAGTTCAAAGAGCTCTGCCACTCAACCCTTTAGCTTTAGGAGAGCCTGTGGTGCTCAAAGTGGCAGTTAAAATACCCTAAAAGGGGATCACAATGCAAAACCAAAGCTTTTTAAGTTGAGCTACTCTCCTTCAGCAAATTACTATCCATATACATATATATATATATATTCAGAGATAGGGTCTCACTATGTCACCTAGGCTTGAGTGCAGTGGTGCTATAACAGCTCACTGCAGCCTCGACCTCCCAGGCTCAAGTGATCCTCCCACCTCAGACTCTTTAGTAGCTGGGACCATAGGTGTGTGCCACGATGCCCAGCTAATTTTTTCTATTTTTTGTTTTTTTGTAGAGATGGGGTTCTGCTATGTTGCCCAGGCTAGTCTCAAACTCCTGGGCTCAAGAGATCCTCTTGCCTTGGCCTCCTAAAGTGCTGGAATTATAAGCATGAGCCACCATGCCCAGCCTGCTAACCTCTTAAGGAGAAAGAGCTCCTGGCCTTGTCACTAGGCCCTAGTGGGGAATAAACACCAGGCTGCGGGATGCCACAGGGCCATGTACTCATCATAACTGGGTGCTGTATGACACCCTCCTACTAAGGTTGAGTGTCCCCTGCAGCACTCCATCACTGAATAGAAGTGGTATAAACCAAACTTGCCCAATGTGGACCCCAAAGTTTCCCATGAATAGGTCACTCACATCAGCTTGGACCCAAAAGGTAATGAAGGACTTAAACTTATCCTATAGACAGATTTTTTAGCATGGGCTTTTTTTTTTTTGAGACAGAGTCTTGCTCTGTCACCCAGGCTGGAGTGCGGTGGCATGATCTCGGCTCACCGCAAGCTCCGCCTCCCAGGTTCACGCCATTCTCCTGCCTCAGTCTGCCGAGTAGCTGGGACTACAGGCACCCGCCACCATGCCCGGCTAATTATTTTGTATTTTTTTAGTAGAGATGGGGTTTCACCATGTTAGCCAGGATGGTCTCGATCTCCTGACCTCCTGATCCGCCCGCCTCGGTCTCCCAAAGTGCTGGGATTACAGGCGTGAGCCACCGTTCCTGGTCTAGCATGGACTTCTTTTGCCTCTTTTCCTTTCCTTTTTTTTTTTTTTTTGAGATGGAGTCTCACTCTTGTCTACCAGGCTGGAGTGCAGTGGCACAATCTTGGCTCACTGCAACCTCTGCCTCCTGGGTTCAGGTGATTCTCCTGCCTCAGCCTGCCGAGTAGCTGGGATTACAGGCGTCTCCACCACCATGCCCGTCTAATTTTTGTAGTTTTAGTAGAGATGGGGTTTCACCATGTTGGCCAGGCTGGTCTTGAACTCCTGACCTCAGGTGATCCCCCCGCCTCAGTCTACCAAAGTGCTGGGATTACAGGCAGGAGCCACTGCACCCGGCCTGTCCCTTTTTCAAAAGATTTGGTTGGACAAAAAGTCTTAGATGAAGCAGAATTTGAAGACTGGTTTCAAGGAGGTACGGGGAAACACTAAGTGGGTGAATCTTTTAAAATTAGCCCAGAACCTGAAAATATAGCTGGGCGCGGTGGCTCACGCCTGTAATCCCGGCACTTTGGGAGGCTGAGGTGGGTGAATCACCTGAGGTCAGGAGTTCGAGACCAGCCTGACCAACATGGAGAAACCCCATCTCTACTAAAAATACAAAATTAGCCAGGCGTGCTGGTGGGCGCCTGTAATTCCAACTACTCGGGAGGCTGAGGCAGGAAAATCACTGGAACCCGGGAGGCGGAGGTTGCGGTGAGCCGAGATCACGCCATTGCACTCCAGCCTGGGCAACAAGAGCGAAACTCCGTCTCAAAAAAAATAAAAAATAAAAAATAAAAAATAAAATAAAATTAGCCCAGAACGTGAAAATATACATAAATATATTTCTGCTTATCAGAAGCCCCCTCCCACTACAAAGAGGCTCTTCATAAGCAGATGGACAATATGACCCTCTATCTGTAGATGGCATTCAACTGCCTTCCTTGACCATCCCGGTGCTTACTCAGTTGGGTGATAAACAAAGCAAATAGGGTAGCAAGGACAGAAAATGCACATGGGCTGAACAATAGGGGCTTCCTGTCACCAAGATGGTTGTGTTCCCCTACACAACCAACCCTGAGCACCCAACAATGGCAACACATTTCAGAGCTCCAGTCAGCTGCTGAATGGAAGAACTACATCCCCCTGTCCTGGGGAGGGGAACAGACATTTGCTTTAATTACAATAGGCATACATGCTAAACTTGAATTTTTAATTTCTTCCTTTCATGCTTATGCCAACTGTACCAGGTATCATGAGATAGCCGCGCAATAGTTATTACCTCCGTCTTCTTCGTGGGAAGAGCCCCACTTTTGTTTGCGACTGTTCCCCTACTCCCCACGGTGCAGATATGAGCCCAGTG
Organism: Homo sapiens; assembly: GCF_000001405.40. Taxonomy (NCBI): domain Eukaryota; kingdom Metazoa; phylum Chordata; class Mammalia; order Primates; family Hominidae; genus Homo; species Homo sapiens. The sequence continues at coordinate 106,481 of NT_187633.1, read as the reverse complement.
GTCTAATCCAGTCTTGCTGATCCAGTGCTGGTGCTATGGTTTGAAGGTTTGTGTCTCTTCCAAAATTCAGGTTGAAATTTAATTTCCAATGCAACGGTATTTAGAGGTGGGCCTTTGGGAGATTGATTAGGCCATGAGAACTCCACCTTCATTGATGGGACTAGTGCTTTATAAAAGGGCTGGAGGGAACTAGGCAGGCTCTTTTTGCCTTTTGCCCTTTTGTCTTTCACCATATGAGGACACAGCATTCGCCCTTTCTGCCATGTGAGGACACAGGGACAAGGCACCATCTTGGAAGCAGAAAGAGTAGCCCTCACGGTACACTGCATCTGCTGGGTGCCTTGATCTTGGACTTCACAGCCTCCAGAACTGTGAGAAAGTAAATTTCTGTTCTTTATACATTATCCAGTCTCAGTTATTTTGTTATGGCAACAAAAATAGACTAAGATTGCTAGTAAGCGAGCTGTTTTGAGACAGGGGCTCACTGTGTCATCCAGGCTGGAGTACAGTGGCACAATCAAGGCTCACTGCAGCCTCGATCTCCTGGGCTCAGGTGATCTTCCTGCCGCAACCTCCCGAGTAGCTGAGTCTACAGGCATGCACCACCATAACTGGTTAATTTTTTTTTTTTTGAGATGGAGTCTTGTTCTGTTGCCCAGGCTGGAGTGCAGTGGTATGATCTTGGCTCACTGCAACCTCTGCCTTGCGGGGTCAAGCGATTCTCCTGCCTCAGCCTCCCGAGTAGCCAGGACTACAGGCGTGTGCCACCACGCCCTGCTAATTTTTGTATGTTTAGTAGAGATAGGTTTTCACCATGTTGGTCAGGCTGGTCTCAAGCTCCTGACCTTAGGTGATCCACCCGCCTCAGCCTCTCAAAGTGCTGGGATTACGGGCATGAGCCACTGCACCCAGCCCATTCCTAGCTAATTTTTTGTAGAGATGGGGTCTCACCATATTGCCCAGACTGTTCTCAAACTCCTGGACCCATGCAATCTGCCCCGCTCAGCCTCCCAAAATGCTGGGATTATGTGGGTGAGCCACCATGCCTCACCAGGCCTGGCTTCTAAGAACTTCTTTCATGCTATGAGCTGCCCCACTATCCTTCCAGCTATTACATTTTTGATTCTGTTATCAGAGTCAGTTTGTATTCTTTGAAATCCAAGAACTGCATTAGATATGCAGGAGGAGAGTGAGGCCCAGGAAGAAAATAACTTGTTTAAGGTCAGTTAGCACTTGTTGGCAGACATGAAATTAGAAACCAGGAGTCCTCCCTCTCTTGTAGCACAGGACTGTTTGCTCTACCAAACCCTTGAAGACGTGTCTTGCAAGGTGAAACTCCAGGCAGAGTAAGAGGCTGGATGAGGAGCTGATCTGGGCCTGGAGCTTGCCGGGCCTCTTCCTTCTTCCACATTCCTCAGCCTGCAGGCTGCAGCGCTCCTCATTAAAGGGCATTCAGGGGGTATGCAGGAAGCACTTACCTTCCCAGCGTGATGGCCAAGGGACCTGCAAGCAGTGCTCCAAAGAGGCCTCCCAGGGGATACAGAGACACGATGAGGGACCACATAAGCAGGACTAGGTGATCGGGCAGTGGCTCTCCAGTACGCGCCTGCCATGTCTCATTGGTGAATTCCTGAATGTGCTGTGGACAGAAATGCCAGTCAGCCTTCTGGGGATGGTGGCGTGGGGGTGCTAGATGAAACAAGCCTTCTCCCCAACAGGGCTCCATGCCTCTGCAGAACAGGCAATGACAACAGGCACCGTGTCTTCTGAGCTCCCCCTGGAGCAGGAACCAACTCGCCTGAGCACCTCCCTTGTGCAGGGCACCATGCTGGTTCTTTCATGGGCAATATCTCTCAGAGCCTAGCACTGGACTCGCTCCATTTGCCCCTCTCTGCGAAAACACTATTTCTCTCTACTCACACAATACTCCTGACAGCAAATGTGTGGATATTTTCCCACATCAAGCAATTCTCTAACTCTCCGGACACAAGCTGGGTGTACTACAATGTAATCCCATTCTGACACTATCCACCTGGAGTTAGCATCAAATCCCACAAGTCAAAGGGCTCCATTCCACAAGACTGTCCCCTCTTCAGATGCCAAGTGCAACTCCTGCACTTCTGACCAACTGGCCATCAATTGGGGATTCCTAGGATCCTTTCTGTGGGTTTGATAATTTGCAACAATGGCTCACGAAACTCAGGAAGGCCCTTTACTTACATTTACTGGTTTGTTATGAAGGATACAACTCATGAATAGCCAGATGGGAAAGATGCACTGGGCCTGATCCTGGGAGAGTAGGTTGCTAGAGGCTTCCATGTCCCCTCCAGGAGCACCACCTTCCCAGCACCTCAATGTGTTCATGAACCTGGAAGCTCATCAAATCTTGTCATTCAAGAGTTTTTATAGACCTTAATCTTCAGCTCCTCTCCCTTTCCTAGAGCTCCGTGAGTGGGGCTGAACATTCGGACCCTCTAATCTCTTGGTCTTTTTGGTGACCAGCTCCATCCTGAGGCAATCTAGTGGCCCTACCCTGTCATCTCATTACCATAAGCGCAGGTATGATGAAATGGGGCTCATTGCAAATAACAAAAGATGCTCCTATCACTCAAGAAATTCCGTGGCCAGGCACGGTGGCTCACACCTGTAATCACAGCACTTTGGGAGGCCGAGATGGGCGTATCACCTCAGGTCAGGAATTCAAGACCAGCCTGGCCAACATGGTGAAACCTCATCTCTACTAAAAATACAAAAAAAAAAAAATTAGCCAGGTGTGATGGCAGGCACCTGTAATCCCAGCTACTTGGGAGGCTGAGGCAGAAGAATTGCTTGAACCCGGGAGGTGGAGGTTGCAGTGAGCCAAGATTGCACCATTGCACTCCAGTGACAAGAGCAAAACTACGTCTGAAAAAAAAAAAATTCCAAGAGTTTTAGGAGCTCTGTGCCTGGAACCAAGGACAAAGATCTATTATATTTCTTATTATACCATACCCGAGGAATCCACTGCAGTCCCCTCCCACCCTGCTTTTGCCCCAGGGAGCCACCTGTGCAGCCCACATCAGTAGGCTCCCTTACTGACCAACTTGGCCAATGGTGAGCACCAGCAGGACATCAGGAGGCAGGAGAGAGAAGTAGGAGTGTCTGTTCCCTGGCTCCCTCCCTGGGAGGTTGCCTCAGCCTGGCTGCGATCCTCTCAAGGGGACCTATGTCTCTTTCCTTCCAATTTCAGTAATCTCTCCATCCACTGGTCATAGCTCAGAGCAGCCTCCAGCTCCTGGGCTCAAGCGACCCTCCTGCCTCAGCCTCCTGAGTAGCTGAAACTAACAGGCACATACCAGCATGCCAGGCTAATTTTTAAATTTTTTTGTAGAGACAGGGTCTCACTATGTTGCCCAGGCTGTTCTCCAATTCCTGGCCTCAAGCAATCCTCCTGCTTCAGCCTCCCAAAGCACCGGGATTACAGACATGAGCAACCATGCCCAGCCTTGGTCACTGTCAAGACTGGGGATTAGGCTCAGGGAGAGGTGAAATGACTTGCTCACAGCGTTAGCCACAGGTCAGAGTTGTACCAGGTAGTTTGGACTCCCCAGACTCCAAACCTCAGGTGAGTGAAGGGAAGCCACATGGTTAGGAAAGACATGAGGAAGACATGGACACCCTTCTCTTGGTTAGAGATGAAATGTCATTTGCAGGTCTCCTGACAGAACAGAACACAAGGGAGAGCAGCGGGTTCAGGTGCTGGGCCAGCTCTCCCCTGCCCAGCTCAGGGCAATGACTGTCAGCCTAGTGCCCACCAGCTGCCTCTCGGGGGAGGAACTGTCCACAGGAGCTGGGACCAGGGCCAGCCTCCCCTGACATTGGGTGGAACTCCTCAAGAGTGACCATTGACAAAGATTCTCCTCAGAGTTTTCTAAGCTCTTTTTTCCTTTTTTCTTTCTTTTTTTTTTTTTAAAGATAGTGTCTCCCTCTGTTGTCCAGGCTAGAGTGCAGTGGCATGATCATAGCTCACTGTAGCCTCGAACTCCTGGGCTCGAGCCATCCTCCAACCTCAGCCTCACAGATCCCTACAACTACAGGCCCATGCCATTGTGCCCTGTTGCATTTTTTTTACTTTTTTGTAGATACTGGGTCTCACTGTGTTGCTTAGGCTGGTCTCAAACTCCGGGGCTCAAGCAATCCTCCCACCTCGGCCTCTCAAAGTGTTCGGATTAGAAGCATGGACCACTGCACCCGGCCTTCTGAGCTCTTTTTCAACTAGGTCTCAACTTTTGGACTTCTGTGTTCATCTCTGCCTTGTTCAATTTTAGCAAGTATCGTGCTAAGTTGGTTTAGCTAGAATCCTCATCCTCCACATCTGATCACTCTCAAAATCTAATCGGCCTCCTTATCCTCTGCCATCCTCCATGATGTCTAGTTACCCTGGCCTGCCCTCAACAAGAATCCTGTTAGGACAATTTAACCAGAATCCCCCACAAATGCCTGATGATCCTCTTAGTCATTGTGCACCCGCTGACCCCACTCTGCTCCTTGGCTATCAGTTCTCACTTGCCCATTGCTGTATTTGAAGTTGAGTCCAACCTTTCTGCCTCAGGGCAGGACCCCATTGCCACGGTCCCTACAACTAGTGCTTGCCACCTCTTGAATAAAGTCTTCATTACTGTGCTTTGACAAGTGTCATTGAATAGTTTTTTGTTTTTGTTTTTGAGATGGAGTTTTGCTCTTGTTGCCCAGGCTGGAGTGCAATGATGCAATCTTGGCTCACTGCAACCTCTGCTTCCCAGGTTCAAGCAATTCTCCTGCCTCAGCCTCCCAAGTAGCTGCGATTATAGGCATGCGCCACCATGCTTGGTTAATTTTGTATTTTTAGTAGAGACGGGGTTTCTCCATGTTGGTCACGCTGGTCTTGAACTCCCGACCTCAGGGGATCCACCTGCCTCAGACTCCCAAAGTGCTGGGATTACAGGCGTGAGCCACTGCGCCCAGTTTTGTTTTCTGGTTTTTTTTTTTTTTTTTTTGAGAGGGAGTCTCCCTGTCGCCCAGGCTGGAGCACAGTGGCGAGATCTCAGCTCACTGCAACTTCCGCTTCCTGGGTTCAAGCAATTTTCCTGCCTCAGCCTCTGGAGGAGCTGGGATCACGGCACATGCCACCATGCCCAGCTAATATTTCTATTTTTAGTGGAGACAGGGTTTAATCATGTTGGCCAGGCTGGTCTCAAACTCCTGACCTCAAATGATCCGCCTGCCTCAGCCTCTCAAAGTGCTGGGATTACAGGCATGAGCCACCACGCCCAGCCTGAATAACTTTTTCTTTAACAATTAGAACTTAACACCATTCAGCAGGGTAGGGGAAGCCTCTGAGCCTAGGAAAGTCTCCTTCGTAGGGGCTGGTGATGGCTGTGGGAGGTAAGGTCTGAGAGTGCCCTGCCCGGCCTGGGATGGACCCCTCTCTAGTCTGAGTGTGCACTGAAGTGGGTGCTCAAATGCTTGATGAATTAATGAATAAATAAACCAATGCATCACCCCTGTAATCCCAGCACTTTGGGAGTCCAAGGCAGGCGGATCGCCTGAGGTCAGGAGTTTGAGACCAGCCTGGCTAACATGGTGAAACCCCATTTCTACTACAAATACAAAAAATTAGCCAGGCGTGGTGGTGGGCGCCTGTAATCCCAGCTACTCGGGAGGCTGAGGCAGAATCGCTTGAACCCAGGAGGTGGAGGTTGCAGTGAGCCAAGATCACGCCATCGCACTCCAGCTTGGGCAACAAGAGCAAAACTCTGTCTCAGAAAATAAATAAATAAAAAATAAACCAACGCAGCCAGCTCAGATCTCCCTTTCTAAACTCTCATCCTTTCTTTAAGAGGCTGGGCTGCTATCATTCTTTCTATCCCCACCTCTATCTTCTGCTAGCAAATATTACTTTGGAGGAAGTTCTCTCGATGGTCAACTACAGCCCTTGGTTCCCCATAAAGGTGATCACCTGGCCCAGATCTGGCCAATCTGAGCATCCCAGCCTCCTGACCACATTACTGGTCTGGGAGTGGACATGTAATCCAAACCAGCCCCTCAGGCTCTTCCCTGCCTTTCTACATGAGCTAACCTGGAAGACTTTTGTTGGTGGGGTGAGTTCTCAGCTGGCAGGAAGTGAATCTGGTGACAGCAGCTCCCCATCTGGGTATGAAAACAAGGCCAAGCTGGGCACGGTGGCTCATGCCTGTAATCCTAGAACTTCAAGAGGCCGAGGTGGGCGGACCACTTCAGCTCAGGAGTTTGAGACCAGCCTGGGCAACATGATGAGACCCCATCTCTACTAAAAAATACAAATAAAATAGCTGGGCTTTGTTGTACATGCCTGTGGTCCCAATTATTTGGGAGGCTGAGGTAGGAGGATCGCTTGAGCGCCTGAGCTCGGGACGGGGCGGAGGTTGCAGTGAACCGAAATTGCACCACTGCACTCCAGCCTGGGTGAGAGAGCAAGACTCTGTCCCAAAAAAAAAAAAAAAAAAAAAAAAAACCAGAGAGAGAGAAAAAACAGGGGCAGGACAGCCACAGTTCTGTCCTGGGGCCTGGTTCCTGCAGCTCTCCCTCAGTGCTGTGTGAAGCCCCACATCCCATCATTCCCAGTTACATGATTAGGTACTTGCCCTTCTTACTTAAGCAAGTTAGAGGTGGGCTTCTATCACTGGGGCTGAAAGACCTATCCTTTCCACAGACACTCACAGAACATTGGCTCGGGCCAGGCTACCATCAAGGGCCAGAGATTCAAAGATGACTCAGATGCTGAGAGCAAACCAGCAGGAGAGAGGAGATGGACACAAAACAGCCCTCACACAGCCTAAGAGAGGACAGCCTGCACCAAGGGCTGGAGAGGCAAAAAGGTTTCAAGAAGGTGGTGGTATCTGGGGTGGGCTTCTACAGGTGGAAGAGAGAGGGCCCCTCCGTGGAAGGAGGCTTAGAGGAAGGGCTGTGTCATAGGTATTTGAGGAACTATACTTAACTTGCTTTGGTATCAGGGTTGGGGGAGCGAAGGTGTGAGACAGTGAAACCGAGGGGTTCATTTGGTCAGGTCTGCCTGCCCTGCTTGCTTTTTAAAATTTCTTCTTCCTTTTTCCATGAAGCTGAGGCCGTGATAGCTCAAGGCTTCACCGCTGAACACGGAAACTTAATCTCCACTGGCTACTTTATAAATAACATTGATGAGACCGGGCACGGTGTCTCATGCCTATAATCCCAGTACTTTGGGAGGCTGAGGCAGGCGGATCACATGAGGTTGGGAGTTTGAGACCAGCCTGACCAACAGGGAGAAACCCCGTCTCTACTAAAAATACAAAATTAGCTGGGCATGGTGGCACATGCCTGCAATCCCAGCTACTCGGGAGGCTGAGGCAGGAGAATCGCTTGAACCTGGTAGGCGGAGGTTGTGGTGAGCCAAGATCATGCCATTGCACTCCAGCCTGGGCAACAAGAGCGAAACTCCATCTCGAAAAAAAAAAAAAATTTCTGAGCAGGGGAGTGACTTGAAGAGATCAAGGTGGGGAGAGGCTGAAGGCAAGGAGGCCAGTGAGGAGGCTGGGCCAGAACTGGGAATGTGGTGGAAACATGGGGAGAAGTGGCTGGATTCCAGAGGTAGTTAGGAAGGACTTAGTGTCCAAGAGATGAAGAGAAGAGTCAAGGCTGACCCCCCATCACTAGGTGGAAGATGGAGTCATCTGCTGAGATTAGGGACTCAGGAGGACATGCAGGTTTGGGGAAGATGTATGCTCAGTTTGAACCTGCAGGAACCTGTGGGCCAACCCAATGGAGACAAACTTGTGGCAGAAAGTGCCACCTAGTGGATGCCTGGCTGAAGCCCCTCAGTGGGCAGCTGTTAGCCAGTACCCACTCAGACAGGGACAGTCTCCACCCAGAGAGGATACATACCAAGGTCGGGGCATTGATGATAGAGAGGTTATAGCCAAACTGAAAAGTCCCACCAATGCCGGCAGCGCAGATGGTCAGGAGCAGGATCCTGCCCTGAATCTGAGGAGAGAGGAGAGAACACAGAGTGACCAACAACAGCCTCCACCCCCTCCCTGGACCAGAGCTGCCAATCACAGCATTGCAATTTATTTGAATCAGGCAGTGATGTCTCCACTTTGCAGATGAGGAAAGTGAGGCACAGAGAGGAGTTACCTGGGTCACATGGCTGGCAGGTAGCAGAGGAACCCAAGCCTCCTGTTCTGAGTCCAGGACCCCACTTTACCCTCACCCCACCCATAGCCCCAACATTTCCCTGAGCTGGAGAGCGGTTCCCATCCCTCCTTGTTGGGCTGCCCCTGAGCACGTCTGCTGTGTTTGGGGAAGACAGTCCCCTGAGCTGGGGCCCCAGTAGAGTAAGGCTCTGCCTCCAGCAGGACAGGAGCCTCTGACTTGCCCCAGGAAAACCTTCTCCAACAGAGTGGCCAGGCTCCAGGAATCTGGGCTGAGCCACCTCTCTTACCTCCCACCAGCATGTTCTGCAATGAGGCTAAGAGAAGATGCCACATGGACCTGCAGGTGCAAGGACTTGGGGACATATGAGTAGTAGAGAGGCAGCATAAATGGCCCAGGTGCCTGGTCCCTATCCCAGCTCTCCCCTTCCTTTCTCATCCTAAGTGACTTCCTTACCTGGACCTGCAGATAATGAAGCCTACTTCTAGGCTGGGTACCCATGAGTCATGCACACTTGGTACACAAAAGGACAGTGAAACACCCTTAGAGATGGAGGGAGAATTCCCCAAGGCATCCCTGATGCCTCATCCTTTGTAGTTGGGATAGTTGGGATTTTCTTTTTTTTTTTTTTTTTTTTTTTTTGAGACTGAGTCTTGGCCTGGCGCAGTGGCTCACACCTGTAATCCCAGCACTTTGGGAGGCCGAGGCGGGTGGATCACAATGTCAGAAGTTTAAGACCAACCTGGCCAAGATGGTGAAACCCCATCTCTACTAAAAACACAAAAATTGGCCGGGCGCAGTGGCTCATGCCTGTAATCCCAGCACTTTGGGAGGCCGAGGCGGGCGGATCACGAGGTCAGGAGATTGAGACCATCCTGGCTAACACGGTGAAATCCCGCCTCTACTAAAAATACAAAAAATTAGCCAGGCGTGGTGGCGGGCACCTGTAGACCCAGCTACTGGGGAGGCTGAGGCAGGAGAATGGTGTGAACCCGGGAGGCGGAGCTAGCAGTGAGCCGAGATAGCGCCACTGCACTCCAGCCTGGGCGACAGAGCGAGACTCCGTCTCAAAAAAAAAAAAAAATTAGCTGGGCGTGTTGGCAGGCGTCTGTAATCCCAGCTACTCGGGAGGCTGAGGCAGAGAACTGCTTGAACCCAGGAGGTGGAGGTTGAGTGAGACTCCGTCTCAAAAAAAAAAAAGAGACGGAGTTTTGCTCTGCCGCCCAGGCTGGAGTGCAATGGCGCAATCTTGGCTCACTGCAATCTCCGCCTCCCAGTTCAAGCGATTCTCCTGCCTCAGCCTCCCGAGTAGCTGGGATTGCAGGCATGCACCACCACACCCAGCTAATTTTTGTATTTTTAGTAGAGACTCCTGACCTCAAGTGATCTGCCCACCTCAGCCTCCAAATTGCTGAGATTACAGACGTGAGCCACCGCACCCGACCTGTAGTTGAGGTCGTCTTAGGGATTCACAGAAGTATTTATCTTTCTCCTTTGGTGATTTTCTGTTTTGTTTTTTGAGACAAGGTCTCATTTTGTCACCCAGGCTGGAGTGCAGTGTCGCAATCTTGATTCACTGCAGCCTCAACCTCCTGGGCTCAAGCGATCCTCCCACCTCAGCCCCCCAAGTAGCTGGGACTACAGGCACACACCATCATGCTGGGCTAATTTTTTTGTAGAGATGGGATTTCACCATATTGCCCAGGCTGGTTTCAAACTCCTGAGCTCAAGCGATACACTCGCCTTGGCCTCCCAAAGTGGTAGGATTACAGGCGTGAGCCACCATACCCAGCCCACTCTTTTGTGATTTTTAATTACAAAATGACACGTTTGTTAAGATTTTTGAAAATTCAGTATATACTGAAAGTTCTCCACTCCTCCAAAGGCACAACAATTAACTCCTTCCCTCAGGTATTTTCCTAGATATTTGCAAAGTAGTTGACTTTACAAAAATTGAATCGTTGATATCTTCCCCCAAAAAATACTGCCTTTCTTGTTCTGGCAAATTGTTCTGTAGAATTAAATGTATTATTTTTGAAAACTTTGATACAATTTTCATGACAGAAGGATGTTTGGCTAAGGTTTTCTGAAGTTTCCAGAACCTACGGACTATTTATTCATTTATTAGTCAAATACTGAGTGTTGGCCGGATGTCGTGGCCCACACCTGCAATCCCTGCACTTTGGGAGGCCGAGGTGGGCAGACCACTTGAGGTCAGGAGTTCGAGACCAGCCTGGCCAACATGGTAAAACCCTGTCTCTACTAAAAATACAAAAATTAGCCGGGCTTGGTGGTGGGCACCTGTAATCCCAGCTACTCAGAAGGCTGAGGCAGAATTGCTTGAATCCGGGAGGGAGGCGGAGGTTGCAGTAAGCCCAGATCGCGCCACTGCCCTCCTGCCTGGGCAACAGAGTGAGACTCCATCTCAAAAAAAAAAAAATGCTGAATGTTTATCTCAGCCAGGAAGTGTGCTGGGGGGCAAGATACAGCTGGGAAAGAGACAGCTGTGCTTTCACCATTCAGTGAGATACTGCACTGGAGGCTGGGGGAGCAGAGGAAGTGGCTCTGGAGGGCAGAATCCTGCTGAAGGCCTTGCCATAGGTCTGGAGACAGGTTGGTGACAGGGGCCCTGGCTGCCCATAGTTCCAATAAGGCCTAAGTAACTTTCTCTAAGGCTGGAAGCCTTAGGAAGAAGCCAGGTGAGAAACCTGGCATCTGGTCCCATTGAGGCCAAATTACAGCTCCACGGGGGCCGCATGGAAGTGAGAGCTCCCTTAAGACAGCAGATGTGAAGGAAGCAGCGAACACAGTGCTTGATGGCAGCTGAGCTCATGTAGCAGGAGATATTGACAGGTCTCTAAGACTACAGGAAATCGTTGAATTCAATGAGATCATGCATGGAGATTGCCTATACCGTGCCTGGTCATGGTAAGCATTCAGACATTAGCTACGATAGGGACCATTAATTCAGCAAACAAAGATTTATTGCCTCCCTATTATGGTCAATAATCCTACTGTTCTAGGTGTTGGGATACAGCAGTGAACAACAGACAAAATCCATGAGCTGTCAGAGCTTTCCTTCCAGCAGAGAAAGACAAGCAATCGCAAAATGAACAAGCAAAATATATAGTACATCAGCTGGTGCTACAGAGACTTAAAGCAGTGAAGGGGCGTAGGAAGTGTTTGGACCAGGTGGTGCTATTTTATTTTATTTTATTTTATTTTTATTTTTTAGAGACAAGGTCTCGCTACGTCGCCCACGCTGGAGTGCAGTGGTGAGATCCTATTAGATCCCTGCAGCTTCGAACTCCTGGGCGATCCTCCCACCTTAGTTGGTGCTATTTTAAATAAGGCTGTCAAGGAATACAAGTGCAAATCAAGACAAAGGAGGTGAGGGAATGTGCCATGCAAATACCTAAAGAAATCAGTCCAGATTGGGAAGGAACCCCTAGAAGCGGTGGGCAGTGCAGTGCGGGCGCTCTCCTCTGGCTGCGCCCTTTCCCTCTGTGAGGCAGGACGTCAGGTCAGAGCTGAGGGAGCATGAGGAGGAAAGAGGCGGGGGTGGGAAACAGTCTCGGGAGGGGGCGAGCAGTCAGGATTGCAGCGCTCGGAGGGCTTACTGCCTCTGAGGTCAGGGCTGATCGGCAGAGGATTTAGCATCTCTGGGGGCTGGGATGCCAGGGTCCAGCAACCTTGCTCTGGCCCACAGGCCGACCCTGGGCGTAAACACCTGCCTATGCACATCTGAGCCTAGCACCTAACGCCACTGTACATACAAGCACGATATTTTTGAACATTTGACGACTTAGTTAAGCCTCCCAGGTGGCTGCACCTGCGCAGTTCACTCAGGTCCGCAATCCCTCATCTGAAACGCCTGGTCTGGGCAAGTATGAGAATTCATACCATTCTAGATCGCAGGAGGGCGTGGAGCATTCGAAAGAGGGGCCTGAGCGGAGGTCTTGCTGTCCCAGGGAGACCCCGGCTGCCATTAGCAAGCGGTGAGCCGGCAGCCTGTGCGCGGAGGGAAGGGCAGCGCGCAGCGCCCAGTGGTGAAAGAGGCGCTAGCGCACGCGCAGTGAGCGTTTGAGAGGAGCAAACCCGTCGAGACGAAGCTGTAGCGCAAGCGCAGTGGGTATTGAGAGCGGCCGCACCAGCTGAGGGTTCGCGCAACGCTAAACGATGGCCGGGACTAAGGCCTGAGACTCAAGCTCAGGCGCAGTGAAGCGCAGAGCCGCTAGAGTGTCGCGGAGGGCGCCTGAGGCGCATGCGCGGACTCAGCGTTTTTAAGAAGGGCTGGGGGTGCTGGGGAGTTCGCCCCAGCGTGTTGGGGGGGAGTCGCCGCCGCGGGGGGGGGGTTTGGGGTCACCGCCGCGGGGTTTGTCGCCGCCGCTGGGAGCTCACCTGCGTCCGAGGCCGTAAGGACGGCTCCAGTTCATCCTCCATCCGCCTCTGCCGCAGCACTGAGGCTGAAAAGCCGCTCACTCCTTACTCGGCTAAGCCCCAAGCTCATCTCTGCAGGCCGGAAGGGAGCTCTGGTCCAAGGTCATCTCGGCCAAGCCCCTGCATTCGCCCTCGCAAGTGCCAGCAAGCGACTCTGGTCGCCGCGCTCCCAAGTCCTCCCCCGAAATTCCGGCTCTGGCCCCTCGTCCCCCTCCTTTGCTACAGTCTCTGGACTAAATGTCTGCGGGTCTCTGTCTCTCGCTGGTCTGACCTCAGCCGCAACCCTGCGCGATTCCCTGCGCCGGTCGCCACTGCCGGCCGCCAGAACCTCGGAGGCCACTGCCCCTGGGCGTTCTCCGGAGGGCCAAGCCCTTGGTTGTGCACATCTATGCACGCCCCACCTACACCCCCCCCCCCCCACACACACACACTTTGGTTCAGGTATCCCCGACCTTTCCCCAGAGGACGGGAAAATTAGGAAAGACCGAAAGATAGACCCACCAGTCTTCGGAGCGCTCTCATCTGTGCGTCCTGGGCAGAGCGAGAGACTTGGCGGAATGCGGGTAGGAGAACCGGTCTCGGGTTGCCGCCAGGGGATCCATTGCGTGAGAGGCAGGTCCGACTTATGCTGGGGGCACTTGGAGTTGAGGAACCACAGAGTCCACTGAACCGGATTAATCTTTTATCCCTCAGGGCTTCTCAGGCCCTGCATGGAGGAATCCAGGAGCTGGACAAAGACCAACTGAAACTAGACTTGCCAAAGATGCTATTTGTGGTCACAGAAACATAGAGCTGGACATGACCTTAAGAAGTCACCTGAGCAGACACTGTGATGGGCACTGTAGTAGCTCTATTGCTCAGACTTGGTTTTTGTTTGACTTTTGCTGCTCTGAACTTTAATTCCTAAAAACACTGCATTTTTAAGGAAAAACACAAAATATTAGCAGTTATAATAAATAGGTATTTTATTGCATGCTTTTCGTGCATCTATTAAGATGATCATATGGGTATTCTCCTTTAATCTGTTAATGAGATCAGTTACATCAATAAACTTTCTAATGGTAAACCATTCTTGAATTCTTGGGGTAGACGCAACTTGGTCATAATATTATTGTTATTAATACATTGTTAGTTTCAACTGCTGATATTTTATTTTGATAGGTTAATTTTTTTCTTTTTTTTTTTTAATTTATTTATTTTTTTTTTATTGATCATTCTTGGGTGTTTCTCGCAGAGGGGGATTTGGCAGGGTCATAGGACAATAGTGGAGGGAAGGTCAGCAGATAAACAAGTGAACAAAGGTCTCTGGTTTTCCTAGGCAGAGGACCCTGCGGCCTTGGCCTTCCGCAGTGTTTGTGTCCCTGGGTACTTAAGATTAGGGAGTGGTGATGACTCTTAACGAGCATGCTGCCTTCAAGCATCTGTTTAACAAAGCACATCTTGCACCGCCCTTAATCCATTTAACCCTGAGTGGACACAGCACATGTTTCAGAGAGCACAGGGTTGGGGATAAGGTCACAGATCAACAGGATCCCAAGGCAGAAGAATTTTTCTTAGTACAGAACAAAATGAAAAGTCTCCCATGTCTACTTCTATCCACAGAGACCCGGCAACCATCCGATTTCTCAATTTTTTCCCCACCCTTCCCGCCTTTCTATTCCACAAAACCGCCATTGTCATCATGGCCCATCCCCAATGAGCCGCTGGGCACACCTCCCAGACGGGGTCGTGGCCGGGCAGAGGGGCTCCTCACTTCCCAGTAGGGGCGGCCGGGCAGAAGCGCCCCTCACCTCCCGGATGGGGCGGCTGGCCGGGCGGGGGGCTGACCCCCCCACCACCCTCCCGGACGGGGCGGCTGGCCAGGCAGAGGGGCTCCTCACTTCCCAGTAGGGACGGCCGGGCAGAGGCGCCCCTCACCTCCTGGATAGGGCGGCTGGCTGGGCGGGGGGCTGTCCCCCCCACCTCCCTCCCGGACGGGGCGGCTGGCCGGGCAGAGGGGTCCTCACTTCCCAGTAGGGGCGGCCGGGCAGAGGCGCCCCTCACCTCCCGGACGGGGCGGCCGGCCGGAAGGGGGGCTGACCCCCCCCACCTCCCTCCCGGACGGGGCGGCTGGCCGACCCCCCCCCCCCCACCCCGCCTCCCTCCCGGACGGGGCGGCTGGCCGGGCAGAGGGGCTCCTCACTTTCCAGTAGGGGCGGCCGGGCAGAGGCGCCCCTCACCTCCCGGACGGGGCGACTGGCCAGGCGGGGGGCTGATCCCCCCACCTCCCTCCCGGACGGGGCGGCTGGCCAGGCGGGGGGCTGACCCCCCCCACCTCCCTCCCGGACGGGGCGGCTGGCCGGGCAGGGGGCTGACCCCCCCTCCCCCCTCCCGGACGGGGCGGCTGGCCGGGCAGGGGGCTGACCCCCCCACCTCCCTCCCGGATGGGGCGGCTGGCCAGGTGGGGGGATGACCCCCCCACCTCCCTCCCGGGCGGGGCGGCTGGCCGGGCAGAGGGGCTCCTCACTTCCCAGTAGGGGCGGCCGGGCAGAGGCGCCCCTCACCTCCCGGATGGGGCGGCTGGCCAGGCGGGGGGCTGATCCCCCCACCTCCCTCCCAGACGGGGCGGCTGGCCGGGCGGGGGGCTGACCCCCCACCTCCCTCCCGGACTGGGCGGCTGGCCGGGCGGGGGGCTGACCCCCCCACCTCCCTCCTGGACGGGGCGTCTGGCCGGGCAGAGGGGCTCCTCACTTCCCAGTAGGGGCGGCCGGGCAGAGGAGCCCCTCACCTCCAGGACGGGGCGGCTGGCCGGGCGGGGGGCTGACCCCCCCCACCTCCCTCCCGGACGGGGTGGCTGCTGGGCGGAGACGCTCCTCACTTCCCAGACGGGGTGGTTGCCGGACGGAGGGGCTCCTCACTTCTCAGACGGGGCGGTTGCCAGGCAGAGGGTTTCCTCACTTCTCAGACGGAGCAGCCGGGCAGAGACGCTCCCCACCTCCCAGACAGGGCTGCGGCCCAGCAGAGGCGCTCCTCACATCCCAGACAGGGCGGCGGGGCAGAGGTGCTCCCCACATCTCAGACGATGGGCGGCCGGGCAGAGACGCTCCTCACTTCCTAGATGGGATGGCGGCGGGGAAGAGGCGCTCCTCGCTTCCCAGATGGGATGGCGGCCGGGCAGAGACGCTCCTCACTTTCCAGACTGGGCAGCCAGGCAGAGGGGCTCCTCACATCCCAGACGATGGGTGGCCAAGCAGAGACGCTCCTCACTTCCCATACGGGGTGGCGGCCGGGCAGAGGCTGCAATCTCGGCTCTCCGGGAGGCCAAGGCAGGCGGCTGGGAGGTGGTTGCAGCGAGCCGAGATCACGCCACTGCACTCCAGCCTGGGCACCATTGAGCACTGAGTGAACGAGACTCCATCTGCAATCCCGGCACCTCGGGAGGCCGAGGCTGGCGGATCACTCGCGGCTAGGAGCTGGAGACCAGCCCGGCCAACACAGCGAAACCCCGTCTCCACCAAAAAAAAAACGAAAACCAGTCAGGCGTGGCGGTGCGCGCCTGCAATCGCAGGCACTCGGCAGGCTGAGGCAGGAGAATCAGGCAGGGAGGTTGCAGTGAGCCGAGATGGCAGCAGTACCGTCCAGCCTTGGCTCGGCATCAGAGGGAGACCGTGGAGGGAGAGGGAGAGGGAGAGGGAGAGGGAGGGGGAGGGGGAGGGAGAGGGAGAGGGAGAGGGAGAGGGAGAGGGAGAGCAGGTTAATTTTTTTTCAAAACAACCATTGCCTTTTCCCCCTTAAGAAATAAGTGGGAAGTGGCCGGGTGCGGTGGCTCACGCCTGTAATCCCAGCACTTTGGGAGGCCGAGGCAGGCAGATCACGAGGTCAGGAGATCGAGACCATCCTGGCTAACACGGTGAAACCCTGTCTCTATTAAAAATACAAAAAATTAGCCGGGCGTGGCGGCACGCTCCTGTAGTCCCAGCTACTCGGGAGGCTGAGGCGAGAGAATGGCGTGAACCCGGGAGGCGGAGCTTGCAGTGAGCCAAGGTCGTGCCACTGCACTCCCGTCTGGGCGACAGAGAGACTCCGTCTCAAAAAATAATAATAATAAATAAGTGGGAAGTGACGGGCTAATAAATGGCGCTAGGACAGTTGATGATATGGGGAAAAAGTGTGGACCTCTGTCTCACTTCATATACAAAAGTCATTCCAGGTACACACAAACCTAATGCAAAAACCTAACTTCAAACATTTTAGGCTGGACGCAGTAGCTCCCACCTGTAATCCCAGCACTTTGGGAGACTGAGGCAGGAGGATCACTTGAGCGCATAAGTTCAAGACCAGCCTGGGCAACATGGGCAGACCCCCATCTCTATAAAAAAAAATGTAAAGGCCGGGCGAGGTGGCTAATGCCTGTAATCCGAGCACTTTGGGAGGCCAAGGCAGGTGGATCACCTGAGGTCAGGAGTTCCAGACCAGCCTGGCCAACATGGCGAAACCCCGTCTCTACTAAAAATACAAAAATTAGCTGGGTGTGGTGGCGGGCACCTGTAATCCCAGCTACTCAGGAGGCTGAGGCAGGAGAGTCACCTGAACCCAGGAGACAGAGGTTGCAGTGAGCCAAGATTGCGCCACTGTACTCCAGCCTAGATGACAGAGTGAAACTCCATCTCAAAAAATAAAAATAAAAAGGAAATATATAATACTTTTATAACCCCGGGTTAAACAAGGATAAACCACGCAGATTTCTTATGAGGATTTAACCTTATTAAAATTAAAAATCTGTGTGTTAAAAGACACCATTAATGGGCCAGGCACAGTGGTTTACGCCTGTAATCCAAGTACCTTGGGAGGCCACGGTGGGTGGATTGCTTGAGCCCAGGAGTTTGAGAACAGCCCGGGCAGCATGGCAAAACCCCGTCTCTACAAAAATTACAAAAAATTAGCCGGGCATGATGGCTTGAGCCTGTGGTCCCAGCTACCCAGGAGACTGAGGCTCAGGGAGGATTACCTGAGCCAGGGAAGTTGAGGCTGCAGTAATCGGTGATCACAGCACTGCACTCCAACTGGGGCAACAGAGTAAGACCCTGTCTCAAATAAACAAACAAAAGACGCCATGAAAAGGTGAAACCTGGCCAGGTGTGGTGGCTCCAGCCTGCGATCCTAGCACTTTGGGAGGCCGAAGTGGGAGGATCACTTGAGTTCAAGAGTTCGAGACCAGCCCTGACAACATAGTGAGACCACATCTCGATTTTTTAAATAAAAAAATACGCATTTTTTAAAAAGTTGAAACCTAAAGCTACCAAGTAGAAGAAGGTAACTACAACATATGACCAACACAGTATTAGTATTCAGAATGTATATAGAATACCCACATACCAATAAGGAAAAGAAAATGGGCAAACAGGCTTGACACGGTGGCTCATGCCTATAATCTCAGCACTTGGGAGGCCAAGGCGGGGCAGATCGCTTGATCTCAGGAGTTCGAGACCAGCCTGGGAAACATGGTAAAACCCCGTCTCTACCAAAAATACAAAAAATTAAACCCCATCTCTACCAAAAAATACAAAAAATTAGCTTGGCATGGTGGTTTGGCCTGTAGTCCCAGCTACTCAGGAGGCTGAGGCATGAGGATCACTTGAGCCCAGGAGGCAGAACTTGCAGTGAGCCGAGATCGTGCCACTACACTCCAACCTGGGCGACAGAGTGAAACTCCGTCTCAAAAAAAAAAAAGATATGAACAAGGAATTTACAGAAGAGGAAACTGAAATGACCAAAAAACCTAATTAAAAGATAGCTACATTAGTAATCAGGAAATGCAAATTAAATCCACATCAGCATATTGGTTCCCACTCAACAGACTAACAGCTTAATTCTGGCAATACCAAGTGGTGGTGTTGATCAGCTGGAACACCCACGTACTATTGATGAAAATATCAGTTGGAACTAGGTGTGGTGGCTCATGCCTGTAATCCCACCACTTTAGGAGGCCAAAATAGGAGGATCATTTGAGGCTGAAGTTTCAAACCAGCCTAGGCAATGTGGTGAGACCCTGTCTCTATAATTTATTTTTTTTAATTAGCTGGGCACAGTGGCACACCACACAGCTGTGGTCCCAGTTACTTAGGAGGTTGAGGTGGGAAAAAAAGCTTGAGCCCAGGAGGTCAAGGCTGCAGTGAGCCATGTTCACACCACTGCACTCCAGCCTGAGTGACAGACTAAGACCCTATCTCAAAAAAAGGAAGGAAGGAATGAAGGAAGGAAGGAAGGAAAAATGTAAATCAGTGCAATGACTCTGGAGAGCAATTTGGGCAGATGAAGGAAGTTGAAGTTCACATACCTCTCCCACCCAGCAATTCCACTCCTGGGTTTACCTTGGAGAAACTCTTAATCCCATGCTCAGGAACTGTTCACAAATGCAGCATCTTTTGTACCATAGGAAAATTGGAAACTATCCAAATGTCAATCATGCAAAAAAAGGAGATATAAGCTGTAGAATACCATAGAATACCATGCATCAGTGAAAATCAGTGGACTAGACTAGAGGAACGGTATCAACATGTGTGAATCACAACGCTGCATGAACAAAGTTGCAGAAAGATGCCTACACTATTATGCCTGTATATTGTTTGGAAATATACAAAACCGTACCTAATGTGTGTAGGAATATATATGTCTACATAGTAAAAGCCTGGGGGCGAGCCTGGGGATAAGTCCCAAATTTAGAACTGGGTTTAACCTTGAATCCAAGACCCTGCCAGACTGGATCCTGACCTGGCCACCATTAACAATACCTGGCTGCCCCTTGATTCTCCTTGAAATGCCTCTTGGATGCCCTAAAGCCACCCCCATCTCGTTGGAGACAGGTCCCCATGTGTGGGCTCCCCAGACATTAATTATTATCCTTTGGCCAGGAAGCTCTAGGTTTCGCCTCAGCAAACATTGACTGGGAGTTTAACCTTGGGCATGTGAAAGTCATATCTGTATTTGTAGCAGCCTGGTGCTCACATCCGTCCTGTGCAGTGCTAGGTGCAACCACCCATATGTGGATGTCAGCCTCATTTACGAGGGGAGTCCCTGAGGCTCTGTGAGGCCAAGCCGGTGCCCGCACCAGCCCTACAGCCCGGCTGGCAGAGCTGGTCTTCCTCACATTGCCAAGGGAGGAGCGCAGCTCAAACTAAAAACAATCAATACAGGCCGGGCGCGGTGGCTCCTGCCTGTTATCGCAGCACTGCGGAAGGCTGAGGCAGGCGGATCAACTGAGGTCTGCCTGGTGAAACCTCATCTCTACCAAAAATACAAAGATTAGCCGGGTGTGTGGTGGGCGCCTGTAATCTTAGCTACTGGGGAGGCTGAGGCAGGAGGCTTGCTTGAGCCGGGGAGGCAGAGGTTGCAGTGAGCCAAGATCGTGCCACTGAACTCCAGCGTGAGCGACAGAGCGAAACTCCGTCTCAAAAATAAATAAATAAATATTTAAAAATAAATAAATAAAAACAATCAATCCAGCGAAGCCCGCTGGTGATACTGACTCCCACCCGGCCCGTACCCCACCCGGGAGCCCACCGGCTCTTCCAGCGGGGTGCCTCCGTGTCCCTGAACTGTCTTAGAAAATGCCTGTTACCTGGGCCTAGGGAGGCAGGGCCCAGCGTTGGGGACATCCCAGGGATTCCGTCTCCTGGTGGAGACTTTCCCAGCCCTCGGGGAATGAATGGGCTCACCGCGCCCGGGTCCCGCCCCCGTTCAGCTTCTTCCCCGCAGGCTTTTCGGGATTTCCCCGACGCCGCCCAGACCGGCTCCGGCCGCGAGGGGGCGACAGAGCCCGGGCTCTGCGGAACCCAGCACCAGCGATTGCCGCCGACTCGCGAAGGTTCAGTGGTGGCGGTGACACAAAGGAGGCCTGCGCCCAGGCGCCGCTGGGTAGGGGGCACTTCATCTGGGGAGGCTCCCCTTTCTGCCTTGCCCTCCCTGCCCCTCAGCTCTTGGGCGCTCCAGTCCTGGCCGTTGTACCGAGTTGCAGCCTCCTGCCCTGCGCCACCCGCCCCGGTGCGATTTCACTTGCCCTGTCCTCACATCCAGCCGCGCGGGGCCGGGTGGGCCAGGACCCTGGGGAGCTGAGAAGCCTGACGCCAGTCCCATCCGGCCTCGGCCCGCCTGCGTGGCTCTCCTCTCTGCTCCATGCGGGGTGGGACAGGTGCCTCCTACCTGGAGCCAAGGCTCAGGCAGCAGCAGGCCCGGTCCATCCCTGGGGATGAGTGAGGGGTGCAGGGCACGGCTGACTGCGGGGACCTAGCGTTCCTGAGCACCTCACTGCTAGTGGGCTGAGCAGCTCTAGGCCAGCCTGTTGGCCTCTCTGAGCCTCGGTTTCCTCATCTGTCAGTGGGCTTGAGAGCGCTGTAGCACGGAGGACTGTAACACGGTTCAAGGCTACCCAGAGGCCATTCCTCCCTGCAGCCTTTCCTATTGCCCCCACGTGGGTGGGCATCTCTGTCCTACACCAGGGGCCTCCTGCGGGGGAGAGGGAGGAGGTCAGGAGGCCTGATGATCACTGAAGCCTCTGCCCCCGGGGTTCAAGCGATTCTCCTGCCTCAGCCTCCCGACTTGCTGGGATTACAGGCGTGAGCCAACATGCCCGGCTAATTTTTGTATTTTTAGTAGAGACGAGGTTTCACCATGTTGGCCAGGCTAGTCTCGAACTCCTGACCTCAGGTTATCTGCCCACCTTGGCCTCCCAAAGCACTGCGATTACACGCGAGAGCCACCGCGCCCAGCCAACACAGGGCCTTTTTTGATCCCGCAGTTGTCCCAGACAGACCCTAACCTCAGATGGGTGCACTGGGGGGCTGCAGCCTAGCTGGACAACCTCACTCAAGGTTGGCGACAGGGTGCAGGGGTGCAGACAGGCAGGTCCTGCAAACTACCCAAAGGCCTGCTTCTTCCTCCTCAGAGCTGGCATCCACTCCGGTTCTGGGTCTCATTTCCAGCGTAATGGCTCAAAGACAAAGAAAGAAAGAAAACAAGCCCCAACCCCACAACCAGCTGAGGCGGCCCCTCCTGGCCACCCTTTGATGTTTGAGGACTGAACAATGGGGCTGATTGCAGATGAGAGATTTGAAGCCATCTTAATTAGAAGGAAAGAATGTCCTCGTGGTCGGCTGTTCTAAAAATACAGCTGTGCCCACATCTGGAGGGAAAGGGTGGGGGCCTGGGAGGTGGGGACGGTGGTTAGGCCAGAGTCTGAAGCACTGATGCCTGCATTCCTTGGGGCGGAGGGGGCCTCTAAGCAGGGCCTCTTGGAAGGGGGTGGGGAGATGCCACAGCAGCCAGTCCGCTGTGGCTGGACCACCTTCTGCAGGTTTGGGATGCGCAAGCAGTGGGACAGGTGTGCCTTCCTGCGTCTGCCCTCACCAAGGAAGCCCTCCCCGTGCCGCAGCCTCGGTTTTCTCTTCTCTCCAACGGGGCAACCAAATTGGTCATTTGTTTGCATTTCAAATACTCACTTTGCGACCTAATCTTGCATTTGTTTTGCATTTTTTTTTTTTTTTGAGACAGAGTTTCACTCTTGTTGCCCAGGCTGGAGTGCAATGGCACGATCTCAGCTCACTGCAACCTCCGCCACCTGTGTTCAAGCAATTCTCCCGCCTCAGCCTCCCGAGTAGCTGGGATTATTACAGGAGCCTGCCACCACACCCCACTAATTTTCGTAATTTTTGTATTTTTAGTACAGATAGGGTTTCGCCGTGTTGGCCAGGCTGGTCTTGAACTACTGACCTCAGGTGATCCGCCCACCTCGGCCTCCCAAAGTGTTGGGATTACAGGCATGAGCCACCGCGCCCGGCTGTTTTGCATTCATTTTCTTAAAGAGGCCCCCCAGTCTCATGAAAGTGAAGGGCATTGGAGGGCTGGGTGAGTGTTTGGAGGAGGACGTGGAGGCAGGGGCCCTGGTGGTGTCACTGTGAAAGGATGGGTCACCTGGGTTGTCATCTCAGCCCACCGTTAGGAGCCTCCCATCCCAGCGGCTGGACAATCACCTGGCACGGGGAGCATGCCCCTCACTCATGGGAGCAGGGCCTGGCTGCTTGGTGGGGCTATCAGTGGATGCAAGCCAGTGGAGGTGGGGTGAACCAAGGCCTTTCTTTCTTTTTTTTTTTTTGAGACGGAGTTTCGCTCTTGTTGTCCAGGCTGGAGTCCAGTGGCACGATCTCAGCTCACCGCAACCTCCGCCTCCCGTGTTCAAGCGATTCTCCTGCCTCAGCCCCCCAAAGAGTTGGAACTACAGGCATGCACCACCATGCCCAGCTAATTTTGTATTTTTAGTAGAGACGGGTTTCTCCATGTTAGTCAGGTTGCTCTAGAACTCCCGACCTCAGGTGATCTGTCAGCCTCAGCCTCCCAAAGTGCTGGGATTACAGGCGTGAGCCACCGCACCTGGCTGAACCCAGGCCTTTCTGAACCTCTCCTTCCACCAGACCCATGGCTCTGAGTCACTAGTCCTGGGCAAGGCCTTCCAGAGTGGTGGCCCCAGTCCCTAAAGATTAGTTTTGTTTTCGTAGAGATGGAGTGTCACGCTGTTGCCCAGGCTGGCCTCGAACTCCCGGGCTCAAGCAATCCTCCTGCCTCCGCTGGGACTACAGCCACACGCCACTCCGCCAGGCTTTTTCGAAGTCAAAGACAGAGCTGTCTCAGGTTTTGTCTCTGTGAACTCATATCCCTGGCCCTGCCATATGGCTGACTCTGCCAAACAGATAATCTGCTTCTCCCCCTACACCGCCCACAGTGCTGAGCTTGAAAATAGCTGAGGCAGGGGAGGGGGAAGCCCCCACCAGATGCTCTGGAGCTCTGGGGTGCTTGGCCGGAGGTGGCTTTGACATTCTGGCAGCGGCCACAGCAGGAAGTGGGAATTCCTGGCAATTGCTCTGGGTCATGACAGTCAGGACACAGGCTCAGGCAGGTCCCGCAGCTGAGGGCTGAATGGAGACAGTTTCATCAGCCATGAAGGGTCAGAGACAGTAAAACGAGGCCCAGACAGCAGGGAGGCAGCTCAGGAGTGGAGTCTCATGTTGGAGACGCTCCCTGGGAGCCCAGAGGCTGCAAAAAGTTCTCACCTCCAAACCGGAGCTGGAAAAGGGTCTGGGGCTGCACAGCATTAGCTGGTTGGTGATGTCCCTCACTCCCCTGTGCCCCAGTGATGGGGTCAGGGATAGCTCACTTCCTCCGCATGGGTCCCTTCCATCACCCGTTATGGTGGCAAAGCCAGGACTGCTGATTTTGTGCCTCTTTAGCTGTGTGTCCTCAGGCAGTTTACTGAACCTCTCTGAGCCTATTTTCTCATCCGTAATAGTAACCTACTTCATCAGGTGGTGATGAGGGTTCGGTGAGTTTAATAAAAGCCATGGTGCAGTCTGGCTATAGATCACTGAGCAGCTATTATCTCCCGCACTTCACAGGTCCTTGCCTAGTCCATGAGCAGCACACGGGCCCATTCCTGCCTCCCCACTTTTGCTTAAGCCTTTGTCCCTGCCTAGCACATCCCCTCCTCCTCCTGTCCTCATCAGGAGCTCTCCTGCCCCACGGCTGCCCTGGACCACTCACCAGTGCATTTCCACTCCCTGCTTGGTATGGGATTCAGTGTCTCCTCCCCTGGCCAGAAGCTGAGCTCCTGCAGGAAAAAGGCACCCACAGCGACTCCCTCCCCAGCCCTGCAGGCCTCTCTGGCTGTTCCTGACCATAGGCCCATGAAGGCTCCTGGCTGAGAGGAGACAGCGAGGAACAGATCCGGCAGAGAGGACTGGCAGGGGCCCTCCAGCTTCCTCTGTTGGTGCATTCTTGCTCATAAGCATTCACTTATTCATAGCAGAGATGGGCCTTGGATGGGGAGGCCAGCTGTGTTTGTTACAGGAAGGGGCTTCCACCCAGAAATCTCTGATACCCCCATTATAGATCAGAGTACAACCTTGGAGCTGAAAGAGACTCTACACATGGACCCTTCTGACCCGCATCTCACAGAGAGGGACACAGAGCCAGAGAGGGAAGGGAGTGCTCAGGTCACAATGCCAGCCCCGAGGCTGCATTTCCAGCCCTGGAGTCCAGGTCTCTGTCTTCACAAGTTTCCCTGTTTTTCCCTGTTTACCAAGCCCCTGCCTGTGCCAGCTCCGCAGCAGAAACCAGGCCTAGAGGGGCCATTGTGTGGACAACTGCAGCCCTTCTGCATGAAGCAGGAATGACCAGGGCCACGGAAGGGAAGGAGCTGGGAGGACTGGGCTAGAGGCCAGGGAGGGCTTCCACCCCACAGCACCCCAAGCTCACCTGCCTGACTCAACGAGTGGTCTCCCTCCCTTACTGGCCATTCACCCATGTCTCCACCCAGTGGGGGCTCACTGTCCCCCAAGCTGGGTAGGCCAGGACCCCTCCTACCTTCACCCCCACTACCAAGCATTCACTAAGGCCTGTGGCTTCAGCCATCCTAACCCTTCCACTCCCTCGCTGTTAATGCAAGCCACTGCAGGCCACCGCTCTCCTCCCCGGCTCATCTGATTAGGACAGAGACCACGGCCGACACACCTCTGCCTGGCCTGGCCCCGCTTCTCCCTCCCGTCACAAGCAACTCTTCTTCCTTGCCTCCTTCACCTTCTCTCCTCTGCTCCCTTCCTCTCCCCCAGTTACCTCAGGGCCTTTGCACAGGCCCTTCCCCTATCCTGGCCTAGCTAGTGCAACCCATCCTCTGCCCCATTCTGCTTCCTCCCTCCCCATCCCACCCAGAGACCAGCTTATTCCTGGAAAGTCCAGATTCTGCTACCAGGTTCAGAGGGCCAGGCCCAGGCCGCTCCCTCTGCAGCCTGACACAACCCACCTGGATGGTTTGTTGTTCTTGCGCTCCGGCCACAAGCAGCTGCTGCTATGTGGGTTCCGGATTCAGTGCTAAAAATAGCCTGTGGCCCAGACAGGAAGGGCCAAGGGGGACACAGCTGTTTCTGGGAGGGGCTAGCTGGAAGCCTACTCACAGCAATTGCAGGGGTCCCTGTGCTCAAAGGGGGTGGGCCCCGTGCTCAAAGAGGGGAGAGGTCCCCCAATGGACAAGTGCTCAGGGCCCAAAAGGCACTATGTGTCATCAAGAAGAAAATACAGCTGCACCAGCAGGTACACAAACGTTCAGTTTGTTTGATTCTTGTGGTTAGTTACAACAGGCATGGACTGCCTTTAGAATAAAATATATTTAAAAATTAAGTGCTCAGGACTCTAACAGAAGTAGGTGAGCTCTGGTCCCTTTGAAGGTGACCAGGGAGGGCTTCCTGGAGTAGGAGGCACTTTCACCCTCTGCTCTTCCTCTCTTATTTTTTTAATTTTATTTATTTTGCTTTTAAGAAACATATTTATTTTATTATTTTATTATTTTTGAGACAGAGTCTTGTTCTGTCGCCCAGGCTGGAGTGCAGTGGCACGATCTTGGCTCACCGCAACATCCGCCCCCGGGGTTCAGGTGATTCTCGTGCCTCAGCCTCCTGAGTAGCTGGGATTACAGGTGCATACCACCTTGCTTGGCTAATTTTTGTATCTTTAATAGAGACAGGGTTTCACCATGTTGGCCAGGCTGGTCTCCAACTCCTGACCTCAGGTGATCCACCGGCCTTGGCCTCCCAGGGTTCTGAGATTACAGGCATGAGCCAATGTGCCCAGCCAGGAAACATTTTTTAAAAAATATTTTTAAGAGTCGGGGTCTCACTCTGTCACCCAGGCTGGAGTGCAGTGGTGCAATCTCTGCTCACTGCAGCCTTGACCTCCCAGGCTCAAGCGATCCTCCAGCCTCAGCCCCCTGGCTCTCTCCCCCTTCCCACTTGGGGCTACAGGCATGCACCAGCACGTCTGGCTAATTTCTGTATTTTTTGTAGAGATGGGGTTTCTGTATGTTGCCCAGGCTGGTGTTGAACTCCTGAGCTCAGGCAATCCGCCTTCCTCAGCCTCCCAAAGTGCTAGGACTACAGGCGTGAGCCGCCACACCCAGCCTTACTCTTTTTTTTTTTTTTTTTTTTAACAGAATGAATAGTTCAGAGAGCTGGGACAATATTAGAGGAGAGAACCTGAGGCCTGAATAAGAGTTAGTGGTGGTGGTAAGGCATAGGAGAGAAGGGAAAGGACTAGAGAGTTCCATGGGAGCATCAAGTGTGACATAGGGGGCCGGGCGTGGTGGCTCACGCCTGTAATCCCAGCACTTTGGGAGTCCAAGGGAGGATTGCTTGAGGACAGGGGTTTGCGACCAGTCTAAGCAACACAGTGAGACGCCATCTCTACAAAAAAATTAAAAAATTAGCGGGGCATGGTGGCATATGCCTGTTGTCCCAGCTACTTGGGAGGTTGAGGTGGGAGGATCACTTGAGCCCAAGAGGTTGAGGCTGCAGTGAGCTGTGATCACGCCACTACTCTCCAGTCTGGGCAACAGAGCAAGACCCTGTCTCTAGGAAAAAAAAAAAAAAGTGCAACATGGGGCTGAGGGTATAGAGCTGACTCCAGGCTTGGGGGCTGAGGATGGCCCCTCCTAGTGTGTGAGGCCAGTGAGGGGGAAAGCTGGGTGGGGAGAGTATGCAGAGGGCGCTATCCTGCCTACAGACACTGAGAGGGCCTGGACAGGAGATCTAGGTGTCCTCTGGGAGTCAGCAGGAAGCGTCACAATGCCAGGGAGGTGGCATGGGGAGCAGAGCCCATTGTCACCTTGCCGAGGAACCACAGGTCTCCACCCACCCACCATCCTCAGCACAGGAGAAAGAAGGCTGGCCCAGCCGACAGGTCTGCCACCCTGATGTTAGGGTAAGGCACACCCTGCATCTCTAGGACCCTGGGAACTTGGGATGCCCAGGGCTTCCCTCTATAAAGAATTATCTGGAGGGGCTCAAGGGTCCAAGGAGAAGTGGACCTAGTATTTCCAGAGTGGCCTGTTCTGGGCCTCAGACTGGACAAGAAAGAATGGAGGTCTGCCCCAGGCCCTGTTCTGCATCCTTACGTGCCTCAGTTCCCCCATCTGAGGATATCCCGGGGCTCCGGAAAGGGAGCCTCTGCAGTGGACCCAGCTGCTGTTCCCTGGATGTCCTCCCTCCCAGCCCTGGCTGGCCTCCCCCACCCGCCCCAGGCTCCTGGCCTCCCAGGAATGTGCTTCTCAGCCCCCAATCTGGGCGCCTGCCTTATCGGCCCCCAGTCGAAGGGGAGACAGACGCCCCTGTCGACAATGACATCCCCTCCTGTTAGCCCCAGCCTGACCCTGAGTTGAGGGCCGGCCAGCGCCTGCTAAGTGCCTGGAGGAGGAATATCTCCCCTTCCCCACGCTGACATGAAACCCGACCTCCTGCACCGGCTCCTTTGTGCCCACCGGGCGCCCGCCCAGGCGTCAGAGGCCCTGGGTCCCCGCCCTGCTGCACACTGTGGCTGCCAGGGTGGGATTTGCTCTGCCTGGCATGCTTCCAACATGACCTTAGCCTGCTTTGCTGGAAAACCAAGGTTGTCTGCGGGGGTCCGCTCACCCTGCTCCCAGCCCCCAACCCCTCAGTGTCTTGGTCCAACCCCTGCTGTATGAGGCCAGACCTTCTCCTCACATCCCTCCAGCAAATGCACTTCCCTCCAGCACTCCAGGCTCTCCCCGTCCCCTCCAGAGCAGGGAGGAAGGCTCCTGAACCCACTGTCATTAGGCACTGGTCTCACCCCACTCCCCAGGGAACCCCTCTCAGGGCCCTTGTGGGACCCTCACGCTCTTGGGATCCACCTGAGAGCCTTCTCAGCCAGTTCTCCCTCTTGGCCAGTTCCAGTCTCCTCGGGGGACCTCAGGGCCCTGTCCAGAGCATCCCTCGTTTTCCACACTTCCCTCCAAGGCTGCACTCCCCTTGTTTGTTAAGGCACATCCATTTGTGTGCCTTCCTCTCCCTCCTGCCTGCCATTATCCTGGTTACCAGGAACCTTGGCATGGCTGCAATTCACAGTCCCTTCCCGGGCCACGTCTCCCTGGATTCTCACTGCCTGGCTCCTGAAGCCCTTTCCTGGCTCAGCCTCCCTTGGCCTCCCCAGCTGGGGCTGCCTTCCCTCCCTGGCTACTGCAGGTCAGGCTACCCAGGCCTGGCCTCTTTTCTCCATCAACCCTTGCCCCTTGAGCATCTCACACACGCCCAAAGCTACAAATACCATTGATCTACTACTGGATGACGGCACCCACATTTAGACTGTCTGCTCCAACCCCTACCCCAACACCACACTCAGATTTTTCCAAGTGATGTCACACAGATGCCTCAAATTCGATGAGTCCAGAACAGGACCCTCTATGCCCCTCACCTTCTCCCCACGAGCCCTCCATCTCAACAAAGACCACCACCATCCAACCACTCTGCGGCTCAGGCCTCTGAATCCACTTGGACTCCCCTCTCAGCCCTGTCCCGTCTGTAGGCAAACCCATATCCCACCCCTCCTTGTCCTCCAGGTTCCACCTCCCAGCCCCGAAAGTAATCACTGTCCCTTAAGGATTCCCCCTGCTCAAGGATTCCTCTGGCAGTCCACTACCCTGACAGCAAACACAGAGGTTTGTTGTTTTTTTTTAAATTTTAGTAACATATACACAACATAAAATTTGTCCAAACTATTTTCAAGTGTTCAGTTCAGTGGTATTAAACATTCTTATGCAACCCTCCCCACCATCCATCTCCAGAACTTTTTCATTTTCCCAAACTGGAACTGCACTCATTAAACAATAACTCCCTGATCCCCTCTCATATAAGTGGAACCATACAGTATTTGTCTTTTTGTGACTGGTTTTTTTTTTTTTGAGACGGAGTCTCACTCTGTTGCCCAGGCTGGAGTGCAGTGGTGCAATCTCGGCTCACCACAACCTCCATCTCCCGGATTCAAGCAATTCTCCTGCCTCAGCCTCCCGAATAGCCAGGATTACAGGTGCCCGCCACCACGCCCAGCTAATTTTTGTATTTTTAGTAGAGACGAGGTTTCACCATGTTGGCCAGGCTGGTCTCGAACTCCTGACCTCAGGTGATCCACCCGCCTCGGCCTCCCAAAGTGCTGGGATTACAGGTGTGAGCCACTGCGCCCAGCCTTGTGACTGGTTTATGTTACTGGGTGTAATGTCTTCAAGGGTCATCCATGCTGCATCATGTATCCGAATTTCATTCCTTTAAGGTTGAATGGTATTGCATTGCATGTAGACAGCACATTTCGTCTGTCTCATCGGTGGGTGAACTGATGTGAACCATTGTGAATAATGGGGCCATGAACATGGGTGTATGAACATCTGTTCAAGTCCCTGCTTTTGATTCTTTTGAATGTGTACCCACAAGCAGCATTGCTGGATCATACGGTAATTCTATTTTTAATTTTTTGAGTCATGATCATATTGTTTTTCACAGCGGATGCACCATTTTATATTCCCACCAACGGTGCCCAAGGGTTCCAATTTCCCCATATCCTCGCCAACACTTATTTTGTTTTATTGTTTTGCTTTTCACAGTTACCATCCTGATGGACACAGGGATGCTTGCAAAGTGACAAACTTTAGAGGTATCCCAGGTCACCCCACCTGGCACTGCGGACGCCCACGTGGCCCCACCCCTCACTTGGCAATATTCTCATCAAGTGTCAGCACTAGCTTATTGTATTGACTGCCTCCTGGCTGGACTCTAAGAGACAGTGTCTTTTATTGCATGCTACATCCCCAACATCTAGAACAGTGTCAGGCAAACAGTTGTTTAATAAACGGTGGAAGGAAGGAAGGGAGGGAGGGAGGGAGGGAAGGAGGGAAGGAAGGTGGGTAGGTTGGTTTCTATTTTCCACCAAAATATTGAGGACCTCTCCTGCCTGTCCACTTGCTCTGGTGCGCCTCTCAACCCTCGCGCCCCACCTGGACTCAATCCCGCAGTCCTGCCTCTCCTTCCTTGGGCCCCCGGGGAAGAACCCCGACAGCGGCCGGCACATTTGAGTGGGGCCCTGGACGTTTGGGGAGGTTTGGACACATTCCCGAATGCCTCCCTGCTGTGGGTTAGGTGGGCCTGTCTTGGGCTGGCAGCGAGGACAACGTTGTGGCTAGGTCGTCAGTTAGTGAGCCAGCACGGTCTGAGCCGCCACACTCCGCGCCCCGCCCACGCGCCCCGCCCTTTCCAGTTTTGCCTCGCCTGCTCGGGTCTTCGCTCCTGTAACCCATACGATCTTAGCCCCGCCCCCGTGGTGTCGTGGGTCCACGCTACTGGTCCTCTCCTAGAAAGCCGCGAAATGACCAGTTCCTCATTGGCCACACGTTCTCCCGCGCCACCACCGCAGCCACAACAACCGCCACGTGCTCAACCTTGGCGCCTGCCCATTGGCCACCAGCCTCTACCCGCCCACTCTCCCTTTCCGCCCCTAATTTCCCTCTTCTTCCTTCCATTGGCTGTCGGGCTCAGGGGCTCTCTTTTCAGCCTGGGGCGCGCAGCGCCTCGGATGCGGATTGGCCGAAGGCGGGGCTGGGAGGCGGGTTAAAGAGCGCGTTGCTGGCTGGGCCACGCGTGCTTGAGAAGGTTCAATGGCGTGGCAGGGACTAGCGGCCGAGTTCCTGCAGGTGCCGGCGGTGACGCGGGCTTACACCGCAGCCTGTGTCCTCACCACCGCCGCGGTGGTAAGCGGCCGGGCGGACCGGACGTCGCCTTGGTTACAGCCTCTGGCGGGAGGGGTGAGGGTCGCCATGGTTACGGCGTGGCTCCCGGGCAGCTCTTGACTGGCCCCTGGTTCCACAGCAGCTGGAGCTCCTCAGCCCCTTTCAACTCTACTTCAACCCGCACCTTGTGTTCCGGAAGTTCCAGGTGAGGCCGCCCCGCGCCGCGCACCTGTGGGCCCGACCCACCCACCCCGCACCTGACCGCCCGTCCCCCGTAGGTCTGGAGGCTCGTCACCAACTTCCTCTTCTTCGGGCCCCTGGGATTCAGCTTCTTCTTCAACATGCTCTTCGTGTATCCTGCGCCCTGCGGACACGGGCTGGGTGGAGGGCAGGCCGGCCGGGCTGGGAGAGAGGCCGGGACGGGGAAACTGAGGCCCCGCCTGGTGGCACTTCCTATACCGACGCCGTAGGTTCCGCTACTGCCGCATGCTGGAAGAGGGCTCCTTCCGCGGCCGCACGGCCGACTTCGTCTTCATGTTTCTCTTCGGGGGCGTCCTTATGACCGTATCCTTCCCGCAGGCTCTGGAACCTCGGGCTAGGGCGCCTCGGCGTCCAGCCTGTGTTGGTCCTGGGGCCAACACAGCCATGCCAGAGAGGGACACAGTCGCTGTCTCCAGCTTAGTATGTGTTGAGGGCCCACTCTGTGCTCAGCTGCAGGGGTCAGGGCTAGATCTTCAGTGCTGTATGCAAAATACAAAGCCATGCACAAAAGAGCCAGGTGGGTTGTCAGGGCCACTAGCTGAGCCCTGAATGCGAGTAGCCGGGAGAAACTGGGGCAGGGACAGGCAGTGGTTGGGCCCTGGGATGAGGCTGTAGGTGTGCAGGGCAGATTTCGTGGGACCTGAAGCCCGTGGAGTGTGTCGCCTTTATTGGACTGGCTCATCTTGATGAGGGAATAGCACATAGGGGAGATGAGGGGAAGAATTCCAGGGTCTTGGGAAGTCAGAGGGGCCCTGGGCTTGGGCTGAGGCCTGCACCGGAGCACCTTGACTCTGGCCCAGCTGCTGGGACTCCTGGGCAGCCTGTTCTTCCTGGGCCAGGCCCTCATGGCCATGCTGGTGTACGTGTGGAGCCGCCGCAGCCCTCGGGTGAGGGTCAACTTCTTCGGCCTGCTCACTTTCCAGGCACCGTTCCTGCCTTGGGCGCTCATGGGCTTCTCGCTGCTGCTGGGCAACTCCATCCTCGTGGACCTGCTGGGTGAGCCTCCCGGTACATCTAGTCCGCCCCAGGCTGGCCACTCCCCTCAGGACACGCTGCTTATGCCCTGGGGCCCCTCTCCCATCCTTGCTGGAGTTCTCCTCACACCTGGCTCCATCCCCATCTTCCTGCCCTCCCAGCTGCTGTGCTCTTACAGCCCCTCAAGCCAGCCGGCCCACATAATTTGCATCGTCAGGACGGATCTACTGATGCTTGCACGGTCCTGATGGGAGTGAGGATGGGAGGGTCAGGGTTCCTGCCCCATGGCTCCCACTCCTCCACTATTCTCAGGCCCTCCCCTCCCTGGGTCCTGCCTGCTTCTGGGCCTTTTAAGCTTGTCCTTCACGGCCAACCCGGGGCTGGCACTCTGTGCAAGGCTTTGGGGCACTCATGCTGTGGGGCCTGCAGGGCCACCAGGCTGTGGATGGGGGCCTGGGGCAGGCTCTGCTGGTCTAGGACTCTGGGCTGTGGAGGGTGACCCCACAGTCCGTGGCTGTCTCACAGGGATTGCGGTGGGCCATATCTACTACTTCCTGGAGGACGTCTTCCCCAACCAGCCTGGAGGCAAGAGGCTCCTGCAGACCCCTGGCTTCCTGTGAGTGTTGAGAGCCCTCCCTCCCTCTCCCCACCCTCAGAAGGATCCCCACCGATGGGGACCTGTGCTGGCCTGTGCTCAACACGGGCCCCTCCCCACAGAAAGCTGCTCCTGGATGCCCCTGCAGAAGACCCCAATTACCTGCCCCTCCCTGAGGAACAGCCAGGACCCCATCTGCCACCCCCGCAGCAGTGACCCCCACCCAGGGCCAGGCCTAAGAGGCTTCTGGCAGCTTCCATCCTACCCATGACCCCTACTTGGGGCAGAAAAAACCCATCCTAAAGGCTGGGCCCATGCAAGGGCCCACCTGAATAAACAGAATGAGCTGCAGTCTCTTGGCCCACAGCACTGGCTTCCCCATCTCACCTGGCCACATCCTTCTATGCCTGCCCCGTCCTCACTCAGTGTGGCCTCTCAGCCCAACTGCAGGTGGTAGGATAGGGGTGCCCACAGAGGGCAAAGAAACTGCCCATGGTTGCCTGGCAGAGCTTTGAGCTCACAGGTTGCCAGGCAGAGCTTTTGAGCTCACAGGTGACAGGCTCAGGGTTCTCATCCTGGCCCCACCAGGGCCTTGGGCAAGTCCTGCCCACCATAGGCCTCTGCTACCTGCCAGTCAGCGGGGAAGTTCACCAGATTTCGGCTGCTGGGGCCAGGACAGGCGTCTCCTAGGTTGTGCCAAACCAGCCTACAGATGTTCCTGCCAGTGGTGCCTTCAGGCTGATGCCAATCTAGCCTCTCCTGTCTCTCATCAGCCACCCTGACAGGTGGGCGTATGCCTCATTTTTCATCTGGTGATGCCAAAGCCCCATGGATTCAGGTGCAGAAGAGGGCCAGGACTAGGTCTTCTGCCCTTTCTATGACCTCAGAGCCTAAGTTTTCACCTTAGCAGAGTTCTGAGACTGGGTGAGGCAGGGACTTCTGGAAGGTTCTGTTCCTGCCCTTTTTAGCTGAGGACGTGTGTGAGCCTTATCCGACCCCTGTGGCTCATTTTTCTCTTCTGACCTGGCAGCTTTCCTTGTTGTTCTAAGCCTGTCCATGTTGTGGTTTATTTCTGGATGCTCAGTGGCACGGGGCCTCCTCCAAAGACAGGTTGTCATTTTCATGGTAACAACACTGTTCTCTGTTGAGTCTGCCCTCCGTGTTGTAGCCAGACCTTGTGGAGATGGCTTTGCGGCGGTGTGAGCTGGCGGTCAGGAGTGAGGGCCCAGCCTTCCCGGCACCTCCCAGCCAGGTGGCCCTGCCCGACCTGTGGGGTGAGGCAGCCAAGGTTCCTTCCATCCCCCCAGTTGTGGAGACACAGGGCTGCCTCACCCTTTCATTGCCGAGGTTCCTACCTCATGGACAGAACAAACACCTCAGCAATGAAACCTGTTCATGTCTAAGAGCAGCTGGGCTGGGAATCTTCCCCTTTGTTCAAGGCCTTCCAGTAAGGCCCAGCTGTCCCCTTGCTGTGCATGGGGCTCTGGGGAGTTCCACTCTTTGATGGAGGGCAGAGGCCCTGAGTGCAAACTCCCTGGGAAGAGTCCCATGCTAACATGTGCTCAAAGGAGCCCTCCTCTCACATCTCAGCGACCAAGAACCCCAATCCCTAATCAGAGCTCTGCCTCTGCCCCACATGGGGCCCTACCCCACTTCCAGGGAGCACAGCAGCCTCTGACCCTAGCCCTGCCCTGGCAGCATGGGACCTGCCAACAGCTGAGGGTGGCAGCAGTCTGTGCTGGGATCTGTGCCCGGATCTGTGCCCATTCTCTTCAGTAAGGCTGGAGCTGCGAGCCAGTTTGCTGCCCTCCCAGATCCTGTGTCCATTCTGAAGAATGGGGACACCTCCCTATTACAGATGAGAACAGAGGGGACATGAACTCCTTGGAGGCAGGGCTGGGAAGGGACCCTGGGCTGTGTCTCCTCCCTGTACCGTGTCAACTCCAAGAGCTGGCACCAGGCCGGGAGGGCTATTCCCATATTCCTCACAGCTGGCTTGTAAGGCAGGAGCTGGCCCAGGCCACAGCACCTGCTGGGGTGGGAAAGGGCCCCAGCTGACCTGGCTATGGGTGCCACTGGAGCTAGAACAGCCCTCCTGCACCCAGGCTGGCGACAGCCCAGCAGTGCCCACACAGGACTGGGCCCTCCGCAGGGGACTTCAGAGCAGCAAGGCCCCAGCTGGCAGTAGCCTGACCATCTGGACACAGCAGAGCCAGGGCGGCCCAGGGACGGCAGGAGAGCTCGCGGCACCTTCCTGAGGCCAAGCAAGGGGAGCAGGGTTAGGGCTGTTCCTGAAAGGCAGAGAGCCTCTTGCCCTGAGCCTCACAGCTACTCTTCTCAGCTCTCTGGGTCTGGAAGGAGAACAGGCTGAGGGGAGCTGAGAGGAGCTGAGGTGCTACCCGGAGCCCCATTCACCCCCACCTGCCCACTTGGGAATCTGAGGCAGAGGAGGGTGAGGCCTGTGTGCCAACCTTGTTCACATACCACCTTCGTCCCCCCAGGCCCCGGCCCCACTCCTGGCTCTCATTATTTTTATGTTAAAACTTTGAAGAAATTGAACATGACCTGTTGAAGAAATTGAACATGACCTGTTGCCTTTTATTTAAAAACTGTTACTAGCCCTGCCTGGGGCTCCTATACAAAAACAAAACACAACCTAAAATAAGGTTTCTTCCTGACCCCAGAGACTGGGGAGGGGTAGGGAGGGTGGGGTGGGGGGCAGGACTGGGGCTCAACAAATGGAATGTGTGCCGGGAAGGGCCACCTGGAAGCCCCCACTCCACCCCCACCCGATCCTCAGGATGGCGCTGGGCTGTCCCCTCGCCTCTGTCCTTGCCAGAAGATGGAGGAGAGGCGGCCCAATCTTCTGAGATGCTCCGTGGGAGCCGTGTGCTGATGGGCTGGTTACCAGGCCGGGGCCGTGTTGGCAAGACGCCTCATCCGCCTGGAAGAGGAGTGGGGAGGGCAATGAGTCGGGGCCAGCTCCCAGCCTGGGCGCTGCCCTTCCCAAGGCTCTACAGGGCAGCCAAGTGTAGGGGTGGGAACAGAGGCAGGATGTGGGCCCCCAGCAGGGTCAGACCCAGCCTTCTCTCAGCCTCGCCTGTCTGCCACTCAGGCCCTGCTCATCACTCCAGGGACCCCAAAACCTGGATCTGGGCTGTGGTCAGACCCTCAGCCTGAGGAATTATGTTTGTTCCATGCAGGGAAACATACCCTGGCGTTTGGATGGGGCCTTATCACCCAGAAGCCTGCCTGCCTCTAGCAGCACTAGAGGTACTCTGTCTCAGAGACCATGGGAGACTGGGAAAGGCAATGGCCCTGCCTCTGCCTGGAAAGCCAGGTGCCTGTGGGCAGAGCCCAGGACCACAGGGCCAGGGGTACCTCGTGTTCCTGTCCTGGTCGCGGATCTTCTTCTCCATCTCAGCGTCTGTCAGAGTCTCCAGCAGTGGGCACCACTGGTCCGCATCGCCCGTGTTCCGGATGGCAATCTCCACTGTGGGCAGAGGGTTCTCGCTACGAGGAGGGGAGGCAGTGAGAGGAATGACTTTTCCAGCTATAGATGGAGAATCCTCAGAAAGCTTTGGCCCCTGTCTGTGCCCTGCTCCTCCCAGCAGCACTGCTGGCACCCAGTGGATGCTCCAGTCACCTGAACCTCAAGGGAGCTGCTGGAGGCGCCAGGGCCTTTCCATAACAAGTGTTGTCGCCATGACCCCATGGGCTTCCCTTCAAAGTGAACTTTCAACAGGGCTTTTGTGCCCAGCGTCTCTCTGTCTCTGAGATGGAGGAAGGGGCCACTGGCTGTGGAGGTGGTCCTTGACAGGACAGCACGGGCTGGACCATGCTGATGCCACAGTGCCAGTCAGGAGGTGGAACCTATAGGGGCAGGAGGACTGTCTGCTCCACTCAGTGTCCAGAGCCAGGGCCCACTGATCAGGGAAAGGGGATGGATGGCGAATGGGAGCAAAGGAGTCTCCCAGAAGTCCCCAGCCCCCCACTACTGAGGGCCACTGCACAGCCTGTTCCTGCATGTTCCACACACTTGCCCCTCAGCCCACCTCCTGGCCGAACAAAACCCCCGAGAGGCTGGTCTGTGCTTAGGATCAGACAGCTGTCTGGCAGGGAGCTGGACAGAAGCCGTATCCCCGGACCACACTCTGCCCTGGGTCTCACAAGGACCACCCAAATCTGCCCCGAGGTACCTTCCTCTTGCCAAAAGGACACAGCAGAGGAAGGGGGCAGCAAGGGCAGAGGCTAAACAGGCATGGGGTGGGCACAGGAGTGCTGGGGAGGTGGGAGGGTGGCTGGCTGCCGCCTCTCTGGGCTTTGATTTGCAAGTCTGTGACAGGACACTAAGGAGACCACAGCTGTGGATGCCACAGGGCCCGTGTGCCTCCCACATGCAGTGGTCCCGTCACCCCCACCTCTGAGAGCAGCTTTGGGTGCTGACAGTGTTTCCCAGTTGAGTGACACCAGACCCCTGGCTTGGCAGAAGGCCTCAGCCTGAGGTCCTAACCATGACTCTCCCACTTCCCCTCCCCTCTCTGTGGTCCTTTCCTTTCTCCTCCACTTGGGCACCTCCACTTGGCTCTCCCTAGGCTCAGTCCCCTGGGAGAAGGACACCCTGCCAGCCTGCGGCCCTGAAAAACACCATGAGCTCTGGGAGAAGCAAGGGCAGGCCGGACTCGGGGGAGGCGCCAGGTGGACACTGATAGAGAGGACAGGTCCCTGCAAACCTCATCTGGAATATGGAAACATTTATTGCTGTGAAGGGCTTTGGAAGGATGACTGTTATTAAAGCAGCCAAAACATCTCCACTGAGGGAGCTTCCTAGGGGCCAGGGACCTTCTCACAGCCTCCCTGTAGTGGGTGGCTCAAGGTTGTGGGACCAGCCTGCTTGCAGAGCGAGTCCCGGCTCTGCACATCCACACCAGTGAGCACACACCCAGCTCCAGTAGCCGTGAGCCCGTTCCAGGTTGGGCTCAGTGCTGCTCTCCTCAGCCTGGGGTCTCAGGGACTGTGGGCACAGCGCAGGGCACTGGCTGCAGCTGGCTCTCCCTGCAGCAGGCCTGACCCCTCACAGCTGAAGCTCAGCCCACCAGGTCCATGCTCATGAGTCGCAGAAGCTCAAGCTCGTACTGGTGACGCAGAGGCAGGGCCAGAGGCAATGTCGGCACCCCCACCCTCTGGGGCTGACCCATCCTCAGCAGCTCCTGACAGCTGGTCCCTGGCCAGCACCGGGTGGTTTAGCAGTCTAGGGACCACCCTAGCCTCAGACCCCAAACATCATTCCTCACCGTGAGGGCTCCCAGCAGCCTTCCTTGGAGGGCAGACGTGAAAGGTACCAAGCCCACAACGAGGGGAGCAAAACATGTTTTCCTCTTAAACAAGAGCTGGCGAGTGGGTCCCAGAGGGTCCTTTGTTTACCTCCCCTTGATGCTGGGAATATTCCACTCCAGTGGGTTTGTTCTAAAGTAAGAAATGCTCGCACCAACCATGTAAGAACGGGCCTAGAGCCAGCACTAGCCTGCCTTGGGTTTTGGGGGCATGTGGGCATGGAGATGCTGTCCTGAGTTCCAAAGAGTGCTGGGGACCCTGGGAGCCACCCTGCTCCCCATTCCTTCCAGGGAATTCTGGTTCACGGGCTTCGAAGCCGCCAGGGACCCCAGACCTTCCTACCACCCAAAGTGTCCAGGTGGGGACAAAGATACCCAGGCAGGGGATGCTCACGTCTGAGGGACAGAGGGAGCCAGGACTGATGCCGGTCGAGTATCTTGAGGTTTACTTTCAATGTGATCTCACTTTCATGACCTCATGTGATGCAACACACAAGTATTATCCCCAAGTTACAAATGACAAAATACAGACTTCAAGGGAAAATGACCTGTCCACAGCCACTCGACCAGGAAGGGGAGATGCCAAAACTTGGTGTCACCCTTATGTTTGCAATTCACACCTCCGAGGCCGCCAGGAGCCTCAAATGATTTTTAGAAGGGTGCCAAGTCCACTCAATGGAGGAAGAGCAGTTTTCAACATGGTGCTGGGGCAACATGACTCTGGATTGACAATGGATTCTTAGATATGAAACCAAAAGCACTAGCAACAAACTAAAACAATATATAAATTACAGGCCTGGTGCAGTGGCTCACACCTGTAATCCCAGCACTTTGGGAGGCCGAGGCGGGCGGATTATGAGGTCAAGAGATGGAGACCATCCTGGCCAACATGGTGAAACCCCGTCTCTACTAAAAACAAAAAATTAGCTGGGTGTGGTGGCAGGTGCCTGTAGTCCCAGCTACTTGGGAGGCTGAGGTAGGAGAATCACTTGAACTCAGGAGGCGGAGGATGCAGTGAGCCAAGATCACAGCACTACACTCCAGCCTGGTGACACAGCGAGACTGTCTCAAAAAAAAAAAAAAAAAAAAAAAAAAAAAAAAAGATAAATTGGACTACATCAAAATGAAAACTTTTGTGCTTCAAAGAACACTATCAAGAAAGTGAAAAGGCAATCCTCCAAATGAGAGAAAATATCTTCAAATCATGTATCTATCTGATGAGGGACTTCTATGTAGAATATATAAAGAACAATTACAACTCAACAATAAAATAAAACCCAATTAAGAAACTAGCAAAGCACTTTCTCCAAAGAAGATACACAAACAGCCAGAAATACATGCAAAGATGCTCAATATCATCAGTCATTAGAAAAATGCAAATCAAAACCACAATTACTTCACACCTCCTCAGACGGCTACGATCAAAAAGAGAACAGCAAATGCCAGCAGGATCCAGAGAAACGGGAATCGCACGCTTCTGGTGGGAATGCAAAATGGTGCAGCCACTTTGGAAAACAGTCTAGAAATTCTTCAAAATGCTAACCACTGAGTTGTCACGTGACCCAGCAATTCTACTCCTGGGTATATATCCAAGAAAATTGAAAACAGATGTTCACACAAAAACTCATACACAAATGTTCTCAGCAGCAGTACTCACAATAGCTGAAAAATGGAAACAACCCAAAAGTCAATCTGCTGATGAATGAATAAAATGTGGTATATCCATGCAATGAGATAATATTCAATCATAAAAAAGAATGAAGTCCTGATAAAAGATGCTACAACATGGATAATCCTTGAAAACATTATGCTAACAAGCCAGTCATAAAAGACCACATATTAGATGGTTCCATTTCTATGAAGTACCCGGAATAGGCAAATCTACAGATAGAAAGTGGATGAGTGGACACCTAGGGCTGAGAGACAGCGGGGAGGAACGGGACTGCCTGCAGTGGGGTGATGAAAAAGTCCTAAAATTGACAGTGGTGATAGTTACACAGCTCTCTGCATATATCAAAAACCGCTGCACTATATACTCTAAATGTGTGAATTGTATGGTTTATGAATTATATCACAATAAAGCTGTTAAAAAAACAAACAAAACCTGACATCAGGCCAGGGCTGGCGGGCAGAGCTTCGGAAGGAACCTGAGGCTTACGCTCAACCAGCCCAACGTGTACCTGACATACCCCAGCCTAATTCCTGATGCTGTGCCATCAGAGGGACACTGCCTCTCTGTCCCTCATGCAGGCCCAGCTACCAAGCTCCCTGACCCTTAGTCTCTTTTCATCCCCACCCTGTACGTGTAGGACTGCTGGTGTGCAGAGCCCCCTGGGGCAGATACCCTGCCTGATCCACAGGGCCCACCTTCCTTCTCAAGCACCTGCCTGTCCCTGGTCTCCTCTCGGTCCTTCCTGCTGCAGTCCCCCATCAGCACCTGCCCTGGCCATCCTCACCCCAGGTTCTATGCCCCCAACTGCCCTTCCTCATGCCCACAGCCTCCGGTGCTTTCTGTGGCCATGGCACACTGATAGTCATGCACATGAATCTGTTTCCTCTGCCAGACAGGGCACTGTCTCCTCCCGTCCCTGGCCAGGAACACAGGGCTGGCCCAGGGGAGGTGCCAGTAACTTTGCAGGATCAGCTCTCCTCAGAGGCTCTGCCTAGCCCAGCCTCCTTCCCCTTGAGCCCTGTCTCCCTCCTTTCGCTGGCCCTTCATCCCACTCCACTGGCTCTGGGACGCCTGTGTCACTCTGGTCCCAGTCTGTCCTCTAGGAGCCTAGGGCTTCTGACCAGTTTGTCACATGCCCCTGTTTCCCCTTCATGCTTGTCTCCTGTCTGTCCCACTGCCAAAGGGAACAGGCTGTTCTCTGCCCTGGTTCCCCTGAGGTGTGGGCATAGTGGCCTTGCACACACATGTCCTGTGGCCAGCAGCTTGCCCCACTGTACCATGGATCCAATCAATGTCCCCACTGCCGAGGAGGGTATGGAAGTCAGGCACTGAGCTCTGGCTGGGAGAGATGGAGGGACTGGCTCTTGGGGAATCAGCGAGTGCTTCCATTATGGAGTGACCTAGGTCCAGAGCTGAAAACCCTTTTTTTTGAGATGGAGTCTAGCTCTGTCGGGCTGGAGCACAATGGTGCAATCTCAGCTCACTGCAATCTCCGCCTCACGGGTTCAAGCAATTCTCCTGCCTCAGCCTCCCGAGTAGCTGGGATTACGGGTGCCCACCACCACACCTGGCTAATTTTTCTACTTCTAGTAGAGACGGGGTTTTGCCATGTTGGCCTGTCTCTAACTCCTGACCTCAGGTGATCCGCCCACCTCGGCCTCCCAAAGTGCTGGGATTACAGGCGTGAGCCACCATGCCTAGCCTGAAAACCCTTCTTAAGAAGTCATGTGGCCGAGCGCGGTGGCTCACGCCTGTAATCCCAGCACTTTGGGAGGCCGAGATGGGTGGATCACAAGGTCAGGAGATCCAGACCATCCTAGCTAATACGGTGAAACCCCGTCTCTACTAAAAACACAAAAATTAGCTGGGCGTGGTGGCGGGCACCTGTAGT
Organism: Homo sapiens; assembly: GCF_000001405.40. Taxonomy (NCBI): domain Eukaryota; kingdom Metazoa; phylum Chordata; class Mammalia; order Primates; family Hominidae; genus Homo; species Homo sapiens. The sequence goes on along the minus strand of NT_187633.1, from coordinate 64,550 downwards.
CCCATCTACTCAGGAGCCTGAGGCAGGAGAATGGCGTGAACCCAGGAGGCAGAGCTTGCAGTGAGCCGAGATCACGCCACTGCACTCCAGCCTGGGCGACAGAGCGAGACCCCATCTCAAAACAAAACAAAAAGTCATGTGACACAGCAGTTGCCAAGCTTTCTGTGTGGCAGAGACCAGGCCAGGACTCCTGGTCTAGCTCTCTGTGGGCTGACTGGCCCCTGGACCTGGGGACTCAGTGGCCCAGCCTCCTTTCCCCAGGCAGGGCCAGGCAGGACTGACACTGGTCTCCCTGGGGACAGAGTTAAACGAAGTCCCTCCTAAGATCCCATGGGGTGGGGTGGTACAGTGGGGGGAACGCGAGTTGGAGTCAGGGATGACAGCCCAACCCTAAGGCCCTGTCCTATCCTTGCAGCTGTCTTCCAGTGTGGGGACTGGGAAGACACACGCAGCCCTCCTGATGCTAAAAGCCCACTCAGGACACTTCCCAGTTCCCCAGGCAGGCCGCCTCTCCATCTGGCTGCTGTGATAGGGACGTGTGCTCACCTTGGTCCCAGCGGGATGGCCTTTGCCTTTAACCCCAAAGATTTGAAACCTGCATTCTCAGCATAAGAGAGAGCAGGGGGCAGGGGGTCTGTGATGCCCCCAGGCCCTGCAACTGGAATGCACTAAGTGGTCGATGAGATAAAGAAGGGGCCCGCCTCTGCCTCTAAATCCTGACCTGCCACCACCAGGGACTCCCCAGGGGGTCTGCTCTGGAGCCACTCTGCAAACTGCAGAGGGCCCGGAACTTGGAAAGGAATTTAGGCTCAGGTCACCTTCGGGTCAGAGCAGGAGGGATGGTGCCATGGTGGCTGAAAGAAGGGATGTTGCAAGGACCTGTCAAGAGGCCCCGGGGACTTCAGTTCCTGACCCTGGACTGTGGGCACTGGCAGCGGCTGCAGGACTAGGTGAAGGTCAACACCGTAGGGGCTGGATGCTGGGGGCAGCCAGCCTACCACCTGCACCTGTGAGCCCAAGACGAGGGTTCTGACTGGATCAGCCTCTGCGGGAGGAGGTGCTCAGTGTTGATGCGCGCAACATGACTGCCTCCCGGGGCCTCAGAGTCAACTCTGGTGGAGGGAGGCCACCCTTGACTGGCTCTCCGGCCATAGGGCTTGGCTCTGTGCAGGGTGAATGCACGCTACAGCTGCACTCCCAGGCAACACCCCGAGGGAACAGGGAGGCATCAGACACCAGCCCCCCAGCCTCCTCTCTGGGCTGCCCTGTCTGTGAAGCAGAACCATGTGACTGGCAGGGCTGCTGGGGGGCAGGTCACAGGATCTCAGCACCATGGCGCTCAGGCAGGGACTCAGCTGTTTCCCAGGCCCGGGCCCTTGAGCCCCGTGGGTGGCTCTCATTCCTTCTTCCTTGCTCAGATTTATGGGAAGTCATAGAAAGCTGTCTCTTGGGATGTCTGGGAAAACAAGTTAGACACAAACCTAACGAGCTCCATTAATTGTCATGGCTTTGCAAAACAGACCTTCCTATTTGCTCCTCATGTAGCATTTTAAGCTGTCATCCCTGAGTGATGACTGCAGATGTGGATGATGATAGTCTGATGAGCAGACTAAATCTGAACATCCTGTTTTGATGTAGGGATGCTTGCTGCACCCCCACCCCATCCCAACACAGAGGACAGGGTGAGGAACCACGGGGCTTCCCAGTCCTAGAGTCCTGCTGAGCCGGGAGAGTTCAACCTCGCTATTTTTTTTTTTTTTTTTGGAGACAGGGTCTCGCTCTGTCACCCAGGCTGGAGTGCAGTGGTGTGATCTTGGCTCACTGCAGCCTCCACCTCTTGAGCTCAGGCGATCCTCCCACCTCAGCTTCCTGAGTAGCTGAAACTACAGGCATGTACCAACATGCCCGGCTCATTTTTTCTATTTTTTTTTTTTTGTAGAGGTGGGGTCTCACCATGTTTTTCCCAGGCTGGTCTTGAACTACTGGGTTCTGGTGATCCACCTCAGCTCCGCGAAGTGCTAGGACTGCAGGTGTGAGCCATCGCACTGGGCCTTGACCTCACTTTTAACTCTGAGTCCCACCTCCTGCCAGGAACAGGAGGGCCTCTCCCGGGTCCATCCCCATCCCTACCACAGAGGACACTGGACTGGAATATTCTGTTCACACTTCCACCATCTCAGCCAGCCCAAATGCTACAGGCAGGGATCAAGGTGACCTGTCTCTATCTTCCAGGGCAGCCAGGATGGGGTCCAGCCCAGCATGGTACTCATCAAATGCTCTCTGACTGACCAAAGGCAGAGATACTAGAGTAAGAAGGAGCTGCTAGGGACCCCTGACTCTCAAAAGCTGGGCGGGCCTTTGTGTTTAAGACATAATTCAAGTTCAACAGATGAAGAACCCTGGGCAGGGGTCACCCTGACCAAAATAACAGTCTGGGCAAGAGCAGAGAGAGAGGGTGTGGGGCAGGACAACTGAATGGTGGATGGTGGGGGCAGGCCAGGGCTCCGTGGAGGCAAGGACTTGAGGTTCACCCTGACAGAACTCCAAGTCTTTGCCAGCTATTGTGTTAGGTGCTTCTAACCCTACCTGGCACAGCGGAGCCCTGGAGAGATACATAGGGCAGGAGGAGGACGGAGCAAACACACAGACCCCAGCCAGATTGTGCTGCGAAGCGTGAGAAAGCCTCAAAGGTATCACCGCTCACACAGAGAAGTCTTTCTCAAAACAGTTTTGCAGGGAGATGAGGGAGGGAGAGACTCATGCATGATCCTACCTGAAGGCGTAGGTCTTCTGATGCCAGCTCAGCTGTCCCCGGATGCTGTATGCGATGGTGGTGACAAACTCCCCGCCCAACCCCAGCTCCGAGCACAGCTTCAGGGCAAACTTCTCTGGTGAGTTCTCCTTCTCTGACATGTCCCACTCAAACTGGTCCACCAGGGAAATGTTTCCCACATGGATGTTCAGCTGAGGCAACAACCAAAGGACACAAGTTAGAGCTTTTGCAGCCCAGGGAGGCCGCGAGGAGCGGGGCCCTGCCAGGCCTGGGGTGGGCCCTGCCCACCAGGGTCCACCAGCTGAGAACTGCAGGTGGTCCTTGTCCTTCCAGTTCCCCATCCCCAAAACAAGGCTGACCCCACAACCCTGTCTGCCATGAGGGGCTCTGGCTCAGGGCCCAGCACAGTCACCCTCGGGAGGCCCTGAAGTGACCCCGGGGGCACCTGAGTCCCACCTTACCTTCATCCCATCTCCCCTGTGCCCTGTGCTGGTGGGGACCTTCCTTTCTGCCCTTCGCTCCTGCTGCCATCGGTCTTACGTGACTACACCAGAAAGGCAGGGCTCAGCTAAGGCATCCCTAAGCCCTGTCTTGAGCCAATGTCTATGCCCTTTACAGAGCTTGCCCCTCTCGGAAAACCCTGCCTAGCGTGTTCACAGATGCACCCCACTCTGGGTCAACACGGTGAGGGGACAGGGAAGCCTGCAGGGATCACAGTGCTGGGCCAGCTCCTCCACATTCCCCAGAGGACTCCCTGCAGCACGTGACTCACAGCCAGAGGGCCCAGGCCCCGGGTGTGCTGTCAGGGGTTTTCCACTAGTGGACACCTGGGAAGCCAGCACCCAGCTGAGAGAACACAGACTGTACCCCAGGGGCTCCCACCTACACCTGCCCCCCTGGGGAGGCACCATTTTGACTTCTCACCCCTTGAGTAGGTGTGGCTGTTCTGAATAGGATGGACACTTCGGGGTCCAGGTTCATTCACTCTGCATCATGCTTGCAAGACTCCTCCCATTAGAGTGTGGGGCTGGGGTCATCCCTCACTGCTATCCAGTGCTCCACAGGGCAACCAGGTCACAGTGCACCTGCCCATTCATTGTTGGCCCTTAGCTTTTAAGTCAAGGATCAGGGTGGGCAGCTGCAGGGAAAACTCACCACTGCCTCGGAGTCCAGCCCTTCCGGGGACTTCTGCCTCCTTTTAGAGATTAGGGTACCCCAATCCCCGATCATGTTCATAAAGCCCTGTGCCTCTGAGCCCTGCACATCACCACCCACTTGCTAGAATGCTCTTCCCCTCACCTGGCAGGACCAGCCTCTTCTCAGCATCCTGGTCTAAGCTAAAGTGCCAGCTCCTGAGAGCTCCCCTTCCCATCAGCCCCTTTCCACACCCTTCTCTCCATTTTCTCCCCCTTTGGAGACAGGATGTCACTCTGTCACTCAGGCTGGAGTGCAATGGCATGATCATGACTCACTACAGCCTTGAACTCCTGGGCTCAAGAGACCCTTCTGCCTCAGCCTCCTGAGTAGCTGGAACTACGGACATGCACTACCATGTCTGGCTAATATTTTGTAGAGACAAGGTTTCTACAAGGCCCAGGCAATGTATCAAGTGTTTTGGGCAGAGAAGAGACCCTGTGGTTGAGCCTTCTGTTCCCCGCAGGCTTCCCTGCTGCCTCTCTGTGTTGGCCCAGGCTGGCCTCAAAAGATCCTCCCCCGAGAGTCTCCTGAGTAGCTGCGACTATACGTGCGGGCCACCATGCTGGCACCTCTCCTATTTTCTTCACAGCACTTAGGACTGTCTGAAACAATCTGAATCATTTGCCTCCAGGAATTCTAGCACAGGCAGGGTGTATTTGTTCTGGGAATGAAGGAATCCTCACGCAGAGGGAGGAAGCCGAGGGCAGAGCTGCAGTGTCCTGTACACGGCATGCAGCCAGGCAATGGGGACTGCAGTCGGGCCCCCATGTCCTTTGCTATCTCCACATACGCCCACGCCTGATGATGAATGGAATCGGAGGCACTGGCCCTTCCCAACTGGAATCTAATGCCAAGCAAACCACGTGGGTGCTGGGTCCAAAAAGAACGTGCAGCAGCAGACAGCCCATGGAACCACCCAACAGGACCCCATAGGACCATAGGCACATGGCTCCCACCCAGCAAGCCCTCCCTGCCCTGGGCTCATGGATGGAGTTGCCTGTCCCCTGCCATTCAGTCACTAACACATTCATTTATTCCAAAGTCTAGACTGTGTGTCTACCAAGGAGAGGCACAAGAGAGACAAACATTCAAAAGGCTGTTCTGAGAAAGGTGAGGTGGTACATGTCTGTAGTCTCAGTTACTTGGGAGGCTGAGGTGGGAAGATCACTGGAGCTCAGGTGTTTGAGTCCAGCCTGGGCAACACAGCGAGACTCTGTGTCAAAAAAAAAAAAAAAAAAAAAAAAAAAAAAAAAAAAAAAAAGCTATGCTGGTGGGGGCACTGACAGACACTAAGTAGGTTAAGTGAGCATGTGGTGTACCAGAAAGCACGGGAGTGCCAGGGAGGAAAGGGAGGGAGGGGGAGAAAGTCCAGGCTGGCCTCAGAAGTCAGGAGGCCAGGAAGGCTTCTAGGAAGGTGGCCTTTAGGAAGAAGTGAATGTGCCCAGGGAGCAGGAATGTGGCTCCCTGGGGGAGAACAGTCCCAGGTGGGGGACACAGAGATGTAAAAGACTGAGGAGCCAAGGTCTGGTACCCGGATCTGCCCAGTGAGGGGAAAAGGGAGGAGATGAGGGTGGCGAGGGACTGTAGCAGAGAGCAGTTAGGGCCCTGAGGCCTTTGGACAGGCTTGGCTTCCACAGAGGGATGTGGGAAGCTTCTGCGGTATTTTGGGCAGACAAGAGACATGGGCTGAGCTGCCATGCTGAGACCTCTACTGGAAGGCGGGGAGGGAGGAAGGGAGCCATCTGGCAGTGGCCTTGGTGGGGTAGTGAGGAGTGCTGGACTCCAGGTGGACTCACAGAGCTAAGACGGGGCCAGGACTCCCAAGCAGGTGCACAGCAGGGCCAGGCCCCTGCCCACCTCCCCAGCCCTGACTCACATCTCACCCCATGCACTCTCTGGACGGGGCCTGGACAGTGCCACAGGGTCTGATGGCTCAAACTGCAGCAGCACCATGTCCCCAGCTTCCTCCCCTGCCCCCCAACCCCTGCTGGAACTGGGCAAAGCCGACTTGGGCCAGGTGCCCTGGCAAGGGCAGCCAGGCCTGGGCTTTGGTCCCAGCATTGCCAAGAATATCTGGAAGATGCTGCTCTAACCTAAGGCACTCTTTCTGAGGAGAGAGATGGTCCTCATGTGCCATGGCTCCAAAGATTCTTGTTTTCCTTCAGTCATGTTCCAGGATCAAGACAAAGGACGTCCTTACAGAAACACCCAGCTCTGGCCAGGCACAGTGGTTCATGTCTGTAATCCCAGCAGTTTGGGAGGCCAAGGTGGAAGAGTTGCTTGAGCCCAGGAGTTCGAGACCAGCCTGGACAACAAAGTGAGACTCCATTTTCTCTTTTTTCTTTTTTTTTTTTTTGAGACAGAGTCAGTGAGATGGGAAGAGCCTGTTGCCCAGGCTGGAGTGTAGTGGCGCAATCTTGGCTCACTGCAACCTCCGCCTCCCAGGTTCAAGCAATTCTCATGCCTCAGCCTCCAGAGTAGCTGGGATTACAGGAACGTGCCACCACGCCCAGCTAATTTTTTATATTTTTAGTAGAGACAGGGTTTCACCATGTTGCCCAGGCTTGTCTCGAACTCCTGAGCTCAGGCAATCTGCCCACCTCAGCTCTCCAAAGTCTTAGGATTACAGGCATGAGCCACGGTGCCCAGCCGAGACTCCATTTCCTACAGAAAATTTAAAAATTAGCCAGGCATGGTGGTACGTGCTTATAGTTCCAACTACTCAGGAGGCCAAGATGGCAGGATAACTTGAACCCAGGAGGTCAAGGCTGCAGTGAGCCATGAAAAAAAAGGAAGGAAGAAAGAAATACCCAGCTCTTCTGAGTCCCAATTATAGATGGGAAACCCTGGGTGTGACCTTCTATTCCTCATGGGCAAGACAGGACACTGTTCCCAGGGTCACGGTGCCCAGGAGGCCTCTGGCCTGAAAAATGCAGTCTGTCCCACATAACACAGGCTTCCCTGGGCCAGCTGTGTCCACCCTGTGACATCTGGTCTGACCCAAAGGGCAGAGCAGGACACCTGGCTGGGGACAGTCTCTCAACCTGCCAGCTGCCACCATCCCCCAGGTGGGAATCACAGGTAAGTCAGAGGGTCACTGGGGAAGCCTCTTCTGGTGGGGCAGGGAACAGCCCCAGGAGGATTACAGCTGCTGGGCAACTTCCTGTATGGCTCCTCTGCAGGCCCCGTCAAGACAACAACAATGAAAATGGGCTCAATTCTGAGAAAAACGTTAAGGGAAGCTACCAGTCAGGCTTCATGAGGCCCCTTGTGTGGCCAATCCCAGTCATTTGGAACCACGTGGCTGGGTGGGTTAGCCCACACAGCCTCATCCTCCACATGTTTACAAGACAAAGAGAAGCACAGAGTGGAGCCCTCAGGGCTGCCCTCCAGAGCCAGCAGACCGTATGCAGGACACAGGCCAGGTGCTTGCTGCCACTCCCATCCCCACCCCACTTCTCTCCTACCATTGTCCCTTCTTTTCCTCCTAGCTGGCCATAATGTGAAACTGAAACAAATTTGTATTCCTCTCAAAAAGGTATTAACAAGTAAAGAGACTGAATCAATAATAAAATCTTCCTGACAAAGAAAAGCCTTAGACCTGATGGCTTCATTGGTGAATTCTACCAAACACTGATTGACTGACTGAGTCAGAGTCTCGCTGTCAGCCAGGCTGGACTGCAGTGGCACCATCTCGGCTCACTGCAACCTCCGCCTCCCGGGCTCAAGCAATTCTCTTGCCTCAGCCTCCTGAGTAGCTGGGATTACAGGTGTGTGCCACCATACCCGGCTAATTTTTGTATTTTTAGTAGAGACGGGGTTTCACCATGTTGGTCAGGTAGTCTCTAACTCCCGACCTCAGGTGATCCGCCCGCCTCGGTCTCCCAAAGTGCTGGGATTACAGGCGTGAGCCACTGCACCCGGCCATCTACCAAACATTTAAATAGGAGCTAACACCAATCCTTCTCAAACTATTCTTTAACTCATTGCCCTGATACCTAAGTCAGACAAAAAATACTACAAGAAAGGAAAACTACAGACCTACACCCCTTATGAATGTTGATGCAAAAATCCTCAAAAAAATGCTGGCAAACTGGCCGGGCACAGTGGCTCACGTCTATAATCCTTTGGGAGGCCAAGGCAGGTGGATCACCTGTGGTCGGGAGTTCGAGACCAGCCTGGTCAATATGATGAGACCCCGTCTCTACTAAAAGTACAAAATTTAGCCGGGCGTGGTGGCATGCGCCTGTAGTCCCAGCTCCTCCTCGAGAGGCTGAAGCAGGAAAATCGCTTGAATCCAGGAGGTGGAAGTTGCAGTGAGCCAAGATCATGCCACTGCACTCCAGCCTGGGTAACAGAGCGAGACTCTGTCTAGAAAAAGAAAAGAAAAGAAAAACTAACAAGTGTGAGTGAGGATGTGGAGAAACTGGAACCCCTGCGCCTTGCTGGTAGGAATATAAAAGGTGCAGCCACCGAGAAAGGCAGTATAGTGGATCCTCAAAAAACTAAACATGGAATTACTGTACGATCCAGGAATTCCATTTCTAGGTATACACCCAAAAGAAATGAAAGCAGGGGCCAGACACAGGGGCTCACACCTATAATCCCAGCACTTTAGGAGGCCGAGGTGGGCAGATCATTTGAGTTTGGGAGGCTGAGGCGGAGTTTGAGACCAGGCTGGCCAACATGGTGAAACCCGGTCTCTATTAAAAATCCAAAAAAATTAGCTGGGCATGGTGGTGGGTGCCAGTAATCCCAGCTACTCAGGAAGCTGAAGCAGGAGATTGCTTGAACCTGGGAGGCAGGAGTGCCATGAGCCAAGATCGCGCCACTGCACTCCAGCCTGAGCAACAGAGTGAGACTCCATCTAAATGAATGAATGAATGAATGAATGAATAAATGAAAACAGGGACACCAACAGATACCTGCACACCCAGGTTCATAGCAGCATTATTCACAATAGCCAAAATGTGGAAGCAACCCAAGTGTCTGTCCATTTAGGGATGAATAAATAAAAATGTGATAGATCCATACAACAGAATATTATTTAGCCTTAATAAGAAAGGAGGCTGGGCGCAGTGGCTCACGCCTGTAATCCCAGCACTTTGGGAGGCTCAGGTGGGCAGATGGCTTGAGCCCAGGAGTTTGAGACCAGCCTGGGCAACATGGCGAAACCCCATCTCTACAAAAAAAATACAAAAAATCAGTCGGGTGTGGTGGAGTGTGCCGGTAGTCCTAGCTTCCCAGCTACTCAGGAGGCTGCACCGGGTGGATCACTTGAGCCCAGGAAGCAGAGGTTGCAGTGAGCCATAACTGCGCCACTGCACTCCAGCCTGGGCAACAGAGTAAGACCCTGTCTAAAAATAAATACATTTTAAAAAGGGAAGGAAATTCTGACATGGTGCAACATAAATGAACCTTGAAGACATTCTGCTAAGTGAAATAAGCCAGTCACAAAAGGACAAATACTGCATGATTCCCTTAGGAATGTAAATGAGACACCTCGAGTAGTCAAATTCATAGAGACAGAAAGCAGAATGGTGCTTGCCAGGGGTGGGGGGAGGGGGAATGGGGAGTTAGTGTTTGATGGACAGTTTCAGTTTTACATGATGATAGAATTCTGGAGATGGATGGTGGTGATAATTACACAGCCATGGATGTGAATATACTGCCACTGAATTTACACTTAAGTGGTTAAAATGGTAAATTTTATGTTATGAATGTTACCACAATTTTAAAATATTAATCAAGAAAACAAAGTATTGGCCAGGTGTGGTGGCTCATGCCTGTAATCCCAGCACTCTGGGAGGTCGAGGTGGGCAGATCACGAGGTCCAGAGATCGAGACCATCCTGGCTAACGCGGTGAAACCCAGTCTCTGCTATAAAAAATACAAAAAATTAGCCAGGCGTGGTGGCAAGCGCCTGTAGTCCCAGCTACTTGGGAGGCTGAGGTAGGAGAATGGTGTGAACCCAGGAGGCGGAGCTTGCAGTGAGCTGAGATCGCACACTGCAAGCCAGCCTGGGCGACAGAGTGAGACTGCGACACACACACACACACACACACACACACACACACACACCCAAAGTATTTCGGCCAGGTGCGGTGGCTCATGCCTGTAATCCCAGCACTTTGGGAGGCTGAGGTGGGTGGATCACCTGAGGTAAGGAGTTTGAGACCAGACTGACAAATATGGTGAAACCCTGTCTCTACTAAAAATACAAAAATTAGCCTGGCTTAGTGGCGGGCAACTGTAATCCTAGCTACTCAGGAGGCTGAGACAGGAGAATTGCTTGAACCCGGGAGGTGGAGGTTGCAATGAGTCAAGATCGAGCCACTGCACTCCAGCCTGGGCGACACAGTGAGACTGTCTTGACTAACTAAATAAGATATTTAGTTGTTTGTTACTTGGGGGACCACAGAGGAAGTTGCTGGTGATTCCCCCACGTTATTTTCCAAAATCTTAGTAAAGTGCCACGGAGAACCACAGTGGGAAGAAGTCGGCCCAGGCTCCATCTGGTGCACGGGGCAGAGGCATCCCTCAGTCACAGGAGGCATCCCTCCCGAGGCTCCTCGACCCCAAAGACTATTTTCAGGAACCCTTTGTAACATGGCTCTTATTTTTATACATCAATGTTTTCCTAAAATGGAAGCCAAAGGCACAGCATCAGATCTAACCAAACCACTGACCTTTTTAGGGTCATCACATGTGCCAATTTCACCTACTTCTCATATCTTCCTATTTTCAAAGCTCCCCTCACCCTCAAGGCATAGTCTGGCAGTGGCGGCTCAGCACAGCAAGGATTATGCTATAGGCTCTGCAGGGTGCAGGCCTGCGCCCAATCGCCAGCCTCACCATTTCTCAACTGGCCAGTTTGCAACTTCCGCAGGTGATCTCAGCTCTCCACGTGCCCACCTCTTCACCTGTAATATGGCCACTAAGGCAGCATCTTATTGGGTTACTAGGCCCCCCTGGAGCACTCAGCCTGGCCCAGCCAATCAGCTGCCTTCACCTCCTCTAGACCTCCGGGCTTTGCTCAGAGCCTGGCAGTGCCTCAGAGACACCCCCTGAATGTGTCCGGAATATAACACTTTACTATGAGAACTCAGCCTATGCCCTTCCTGGGGGATTGCAGGGAGCAAAGCCAGGTGTTATGACTTTCCAGATGATATGGAACCCAAAGACGGGCTTCTGCTGAGGCCTTGGTGTACCCTCAGTGCTCCATGATGACACCCACCCTGAGGGCCAGGAAGGCTCCAGTGCTGGGTGAGAAGTCACCTACCTTGATGATGACGCGCTGGTCTGACTGGTCCTCCAGGATGCTGTCCGTGGGGTAGGACTCGATCTGCTGTCTGATGGCAGAGGCGATGGCTGGCACAAACGTCAGCGGGTTCAAATCCAGATCGTCACAGAGGATTTCTGAAAACATCTCAGGCGTCATCAACTTCTCTGAAATCAGGAGAGGGAAGGGATGCCAAGAGATTGCACCATGCTTGGGCATGGACCGGCCTCCCTCACCCCTTCTTCTTTGAAGCCAAACATCTCCGGATGCAGGAGAGGACAACCAGGGCACTGGGGGTGGCCTTCCTGGAAACTGGGAGTGGAAGGAGGAAGCACATGACTAGCAGGCCCCCAGCCCTCATCCTGCACAGACCTCCTGCTCCATGCCCTGGGGGTGGTCATGGCCATAAACACTTCCCTCATTCCACTCATAGCTGGGTGGGCGCATGAGATTATCCCAACTAATGAGATGATCCAGGCGAGGCCAGCAAAGGCACATCAAAGCTTGCGTGCCATCTCTCTACTCCCCTCTGTGCTGAACTGGTGGCAGACGTGATGGCACAGAGGCTGGCCCAATACCAGGCCTCATGTGAGCAAAACACACTGTGCCAAGCCACAGCGATTTCCAGGCCTGTGACTGCAGTAGCAGCAGCAGGGCCTCAACAAGGTCACAAGCGTGGAGGTCCCTACAGATCCCGGATCCTGGAAAAGGAATTGTACCAGATGGGAGCTCACAGGGACCATCTGTGGCCAGCCAGACCTCAGCAAGGTCCTCTCAGTCAACATTCTCTCCCTGCTCCACCCAGACCGTACTGACAAGACGCCTTGCAGGAATAAGCTGAAAAAGCCAAGAAAAATTGCCTCAGAGCAGACAGTAGGATTCCATCATCAAGAAGCAGGTCGGCCTAACAGACCACAGCCCCACTATCTCCTCCCTGCCCTAAAGACACGCTGGAGACCAGCATCCTAACAGCCTGCGGGGCAGCAACAGCAGGAACCTCAGGTGCACGGGGTAAACACCCAGTGAATACACTGCCCAGAGCATTTTAAAATTTTTAAGTAATTGTAGATTCATGTACAGATGCAAGAAACAACACAGAGAAATTCCATGCACACTGCGCCCAGTTTCCTCCAAAAAAGACAAGATAGAGGACTGTATCTGTATCCAGTGATTCATCCAGATTGTCACTTCCTTTTACTGCCAAGTGACATTCTGTGGTACGAAGGGGCCTCACTTTAACTATTCACTCACTGAAGGCTATCTAGATCATTTCCAGTTTCCCGCTATTATAAATAAAGCTGCTATGAACATCCACGTGTAGGCTATTGTATAAACATGTCTTCATTTCTCCAGGATAAATGCTCAAGGTACACTGGTTGCATGTTTAGTTTTTTGTTTGTTTTGAGACGGAGTCTCGCTCTGTCGCCCAGGATGGAGTGCAGTGGCGCTATATCGGCTCACTGCAAGCTCCGCCTCCCGGGTTCACGCCATTCTCCTGCTTCAGCCTCCCGAGTAGCTGGGACTACAAGCAGCCACCACCACGCCCAGCTAATTTTTTGTATTTTTAGAAGAGACAGGGTTTCACCATGTTAACCAGGATGGTCTCGATCTCCTGACCTCGTGATCCGCCCGCCTCGGCCTCCCAAAGTGCTGGGATTACAGGTGTGAGCCACCACGCCTGGCCGCATGTTTAGTTTTTAACAGAAATTGCCACACTGTTTTCTAGGGCAGTTTTCCAGCCACTTTACATTCCCATCAGCAGCTTGTGAGTGACCCAGTTCCTCCACATCCTCGCCAGCATCTGATGCTGTCACCACTTTTTAAAGATGTGGAATAACAGTGTAATTTTAATCTGCATTTCCCTAAGGCTAACAATGTGGAAAAGCTTTTCAATGTTTATTTGCCACCTATATAACTTCTTTAGTGAAATTTCTCTTCCTGTCTTTTGCCTTTTTTTTTTTTTTTTGAGACGGAGTTTTGCTCTTGTTGCCCAGGCTGGAGCGCAACGGCGTGATCTTGGCTCACAGCAACCTCGGCCTCCTGGGTTCAAGCAATTCTCCTGACTCAGCCTCCCAAGTAGCTGGAATTACAGGCATGCGCCACCATGCCCGGCTAATTTTGTATTTTTAGTAGAGACGAGGTTTCTCCACGTTGGTCAAGCTGGTCTCAAACTCCTGACCTCAGGTGATCCGCCCACCTCAGCCTCCCAAAGTGCTGGGATTACAGGCGTGAGCCACTGTGCCCAGCCTTTTTTGTTGTTGTTGCTTTTTTGGGACAGAGTTTCACTCTTGTTGCCCAGGATGGATTGCAACAGCGTGATCTCGGCTCACAGCAACCTCTGCCTTCCAGGTTCAAGCGATTCTCCTGCCTCACCCGCCCGAGTAGCTGGGGTTACAGGCATGCGCCACCACGCCCAGCTAATTGTGTATTTTTAGTAGAGACGAGGTTTCTCCATCTTGGTCAGGCTGGTCTCGAACTCGTGATCTCAGGTGATCTGCCCACCTCAGCCTCCCGAAGTGCTAGGATTACAGACGTAAGCCACTGTGCCAGCCTACTTGCCTATGATTGTCTAATTGCTCCAGTGCCATTTTGTTGAATGAGCTGTCTTTCCTCCATTGAATCACATTTGCATCTTTGTAAAAATCAGGAGGGCACGTTTGTGTGGGTCTGTTTCTGGATTCTCAATTCTGTTCCATCACGGTATGTCACTCCACCAATACCACACAGCCTTGATTATCGTAGCTATATAGTAAGCCTTGAGATTGGGTAGAATGATTACTCCCACTTTACTGTTTTTCAAAATTGCTGGCCGGGTGTGGTGGCTCATGCCTGTAATCCCAGCACTTTGGGAGGCTGAGACAGGCGGACTGCCTGAGCTCAGGAGTTTGAGACCAACCTGGCCAACATGGTAATACCCTGTCTCTACTAAAAATACAAAAATTAGCCAGGCATGGTGGCGGGCACCTGTAATCCCACCTACTCGGGAGACTAAGGCAGGAGAAACGCTTGAAACCGGAAGGTGGAGGTTACAGTGAGCAGAGATCATGCCACTGCACTCCAGCCTGGGCAAAAGAGCAAAACTCCATCTCAAAAAAAAATAATAATAATAATAAATAAATTGCTTTAGCTATTTTAGTTTCTTTGCCTTTCCATATAAATCTTAGAACCATCTTATCTACAAAAAAAATCTTGCTGGGATTTTCACAGAAATTGCATTAAATCTGTATATCAATTTGGGGAAAACTGACATCATCTTGAGTCTTTTAATCCATGAATATGATATGTCTACTTATTTAGGTCTTCCTTCATTACTTTCGTCAGTGTTTTATAGTTTTTGGTATATAAGTCCTGTAAATGTTTTGTTGGATTTATACCTAAGTATTCCTTTTTTTATTGAGTGATGATAAATGGTAATGTATTTTTAATTTGTGTCTAGGTACTCATTAATGGCATATAGAAATAAAATGGATTTCTGCATGTTTACCTTGTATCCCTTGTATCTTGTGACCCTGGGGAATTCAGTTATTAGTTCTCCAAGTTTTCTGTAGATCCCTTGGGATTTTCTACACGGACAATCATGTCATCTGCAAATAGGATTTTATTTCTTCCTTTCCAATCTACACGTCTTTTATTTCCTTTTCTCAGCTTACTGGATTAGCTAGAACTTCCAACACTATGTTGAATAAGAATAGTGACAGCAGACATATTTGGCTTGTTCCTGGTCTCTGGCAGAAAGCATGCAACCTTTCACTATTAAATGCTAGCAACAGAAGGCCAGGCTCTGTGGCTCACGCCTGTAATCCCAGCACTTTGGGAGGCCGAGGCGGGTGGATCACATGGTCAGGAGTTCGAGACATTCCTGGCTAACACTGTGAAACCCCGTCTCTACTAAAAATACAAAAAGTTAGCTGGGTGTGGTGGCAGGGCACCTGTAGTCCCAGCTATCAGGGAGGCTGAGGCAGGAGAATGGTGTGAATCCAGGAGGCAGAGTTTGCAGTGAGCTGAGATCATGCCACTGCACTCCAGCCTAGACAACAGAGCAATACTCCGTCTAAAAAAAAAAAAAAAAAATAGCAACAGGACTTTTTGTACTAAATAGATGCTCTTTACTAAATGGAGGAAGTTTCCTGCTATTATTTTTCTGAGCATTTTTATCATCAGGTGTTGAGTTCTACAAAATGCTTTTTCTGTATCAACTGATCTGATCCTGTGATTTTTCTTCATTAGTGTGTTAATATGGTGGATTACATTGATTGAGCTTCAAATATTGACCCAGCCTTCCATCCCTGCAATAAATCCCACTTGGTCACAGTATATAATTATTTCTATATATTGCTGAATTCTATTTCGCAATATTTTGCTAAGGATTTTGCATCTTTAGTCATAAAGGATATTGGTCTGTATTTTTCTTTTTTTGGTACTGTCTTTAGGTTTGGTATCTAGGTAATACGAGCTTTATAAAATTGATCAGGAAGTGCGTTCTCCTCTTCCATTTTCTGGAAGAGATTGTGTAGAATTGGTGTTAACTCATTCGTCAACATTTGATAGACAGAATTCTCCAGTGAAATCATATGGGCCCAGAGATTTTTTTGGGGGGGAGAATTGTTTTCCTTTTTTAAAATAATGTTTTATATTAAAATTTAATTAGAGATTGGATCCTGCTATGTAGCCCAGGCTGGTCTTGAACTCCTGGCCTCAAGTAATCCTCCCACCTCAGCCTCCCAAAGAGCTGGGATTACAGGTAAGAGCCACCGTGCCTGGCCATTTTTTGGGGTTTTTAAATTACAAATTCTGTTTCCTTAATAGTTATAGGGCAACTCAAATTATCTATTTGACATTGGATGAGTTGTGGTACTTTGTGTTTTGCAAGAAATTAATCCATTTTGTGTAAGCTGTCAAACTTATAGAATTGTTTGCAGTATTCCTTTTGATATCTGCAGGGTCTGTGGTGACATCCCATTTCATTCCTGATATTGATAATTTACATTCTTTTTGTCAGCCTTGCTAGAGATTGCCAGTTTTATTAATTTTTCAAAAAACCAGCTAGTTTTCATTAATTTTCTCTATTGTTTGATTTCTGTTTTCAATGTCATTGATTTCTGCTCTTCAAATGTCCTTCCTTCTGCTTCCTTTGGTTTTGTTTCTCTTGGTTCTTGAGATTAGAGCTTAGATTATCGACTTGAGGAAAGCTTTTCCTGTTTTCCAATGTACGCACTGGTGCTACAGATAATCTGTATTGCACTGTTTAGCTTTATCCCACAAATTCTGATATGCTGCATTTTCATTTAGGTCTGTGTATGTTTTTAAATTTCCCTACAGACTTCCTCTTTGAACCACAGATTATTTAGAAGTCTGTTATTTAGCTTACAAGTATTTGAGTCAATTGTGGTTGGAGAACACACTCTGTATGGTTTCAATTCTTTAAATTTGTTAAAACTTGTTTTATGATCCATTATACGGATTATATGGTATATGTTGCTCAGGCACTTGAAAAGAATGTGCATTCGGCTGTGCTGGAGTGTTCTATAAATGCTAATCAGATTCTGTTGGTCGATAGTGTTTTTGATCTTACATCGTTTTGCTGATTTTCCATCCAGTTCCATCGGTTGTTGAGAGAGGAATGCTGAGGTCTCCAATGATTGTGAATTTGTTTATTTCTCCTTTTGGTTCTATCTGATTTCTATCTGATACTGTTTCACATATTTTCCAGCTCTGTCGTTTGCTGCATACATATTTAGGATTGCTATGTCTTGATGAACTTATCTTTTTACCATTATTTAATGTCCTTCTCTGTCTCTGGTCATTTTCTTTGAAGTCTGCCTTACTGATACTAACATTGTCACTCCTGCTTTCCTTTGATTAACGTTTTATCTTTATCCATCTTTTTTTTTTTTTTTTTTGAGACACAGTCTTGCTCTGTCGCCCAGGCTGGAGTGCAATGGTGTCATCTCAGCTCAACACAACCTCCACCTCCCGGGTTCAAGCAATTATCCCTGCCACAGCTTCCCGTTCCCGAGTAGCTGGGATTACAGGCGCCCGCCACCACACCCAGCTAATTTTTGTATTTTTAGTAGAGACAGGGTTTTGCCATGTTAGCCAGGCTGGTCTTGAACTCCTGACCTCAGGTGATCCGCCTGCCTCGGCCTCCCAAAATGCCGCGATTACAGGCATAAGCCACCATGCCCAGCCTTAAAGCCTTAAATCTTTCTACATACCTTTAGAACCGTATCAGATACTGTTACAATTTTTGCTTCAACTGTCAAACATAATTTGTTAAACCCAAGAGGAGAGGAAAGTCTATTTTATTTATCTACATTTTTTCTTATCATGCTTTCTTTTGTTCCTTCCTGATGTCTCAATGTTTCTTCTTTAATCTTTTCCTTTCTTTCTTTTTTTTTTTTTTTTTTTTGAGACAGAGTCTTGCTCTGTTGCCCAGGCTGGAGTGCAGTGGCGTGATCTCGGCTCACTGCAACCTCCGCCTCCCAGGTTCAAGTGACTCTTCTGCCTCAGCCTCCTGAGTAGCTGGGACTACAGGCGTGCGCCACCATGCCTGGCTAATTGTTTTTGTATTTTTAGTAGAGATGGGGTTTCACCATATTGGTCAGGCTGGTCTCAAACTCCTGACCTTGTGATCCGCCTGCCTTGGCCTCCCAAAGTGCTGGGATTACAGGTGGGAGCCACCATGCCGGCAATCATTTCCTTTCTTTTAGCCACTCTTTTAGGGAAGGTCTGCAGGGGATAGTTTACTTTTTCTTTTTTTTTTTTGAGTTGGAGTCTCGCTCTGTCACCCAGGCTGGAGTGCAATGGCGCAATCTCTGCTCACTGCAACCTCTGCCTCCCGGGTTCAAGTGATACTCCTGCCTCAGCCTCCCAAGTAGCTGGGATTATAGGCATGCGCCACCACGCCCGGCTAATTGTTTTTGTATTTTTAGTAGAGATGGGGTTTCACCATGTTGGTCAGGCTGGCCTCCAATTCCTGACCTCGTGATCCGCCCGCCTCGGCCTCCCAAAGTGCAGGGATTACAGGCATGAGCCACCCCGCCCAGCACTTAGTTTTCTTTCATCTAAGAATGTCTTGACTAAGAATGTCCAATATCGTTCATTCCTGAACAATATTGTCACTGGGTACAGGATTCTAGATTAATAGTTCTTTTCTTTCAGTACTTGAAAAATATCATGCCACTTCTTCTAGCCTCCAGTTTCTCATGAGAAATCTACCATCATTCGGCTGGGCGCGGTGGCTCATGCCTATAATCCCAGCACTTTGGGAGGCCAAGGCGGGCGGAACACGAGGTCAGGAGATCGAGACCATCCTGGCTAACACAGTGAAACCCCGTCTCTACTAAAAAATACAAAAAATTGGCCGAGCACAGTGGCTCACGCCTGTAATCCCAGCACTTTGGGAGGCCGAGGTGGGCGGATCACCTGAGGTGGGGAGTTCAAGGCCAGCCTGACCAACATGGAGAAACCCCTCTCTACTAAAAATACAAAAATTAACCGGGTATGGTGGCACATGCCTGTAATCCCAGCTACTCAGGAGACTGAGGCAGGAGAATCACTTGAACCCGGGAGGTAGAGGTTGTGGTGAGCTGAGACTGTGCCATTGCACTCCAGCCTGGGCAACAAGAGCAGAAACTCCGTCTCAAAAAAAAAAAAAAAAAGAATGTCCAATATCGTTCATTCCTGAACAATATTGTCACTGGGTACAGGATTCTAGATTAACAGTTCTTTTCTTTCAGTACTTGAAAAATATCCTGCCACTTGCTCTAGCGTCCAGTTTCTCACGAGAAATCTACCATCATTTGGCTGGGCGCGGTGGCTCACGTCTGTAATCCCAGCACTTTGGGAGGCCAAGGCGGGCAGATCATGAGGTCAGGAGATCGAGACCATCCTGGCTAACACGGTGAAACCCCATCTCTACTAAAAAATACAAAAAATTGGCCGAGCACAGTGGCTCACGCCTGTAATCCCAGCACTTTAGGAGGCCGAGGGTGGGTGGATCACCTGAGGTGGGAGTTCAAGGCCAGCCTGACCAACATGGAGAAACCCCTCTCTACTAAAAATACAAAAATTAACCGGGTATGGTGGCACATGCCTGTAATCCCAGCTACTCAGGAGGCTGAGGCAGGAGAATCACTTGAACCCGGGAGGTAGAGGTTGTGATGAGCTGAGACTGTGCAACTGCACTCCAGCCTGGGCAACAAGAGCGGAAACTCCGTCTCAAAAAAAAAAAAAAAAGAATGTCCAATATCGTTCATTCCTGAACAATACTGTCACTGGGTACAGGATTCTAGATTAACAGTTCTTTTCTTTCAGTACTTGAAAAATATCCTGCCACTTGCTCTAGCGTCCAGTTTCTCATGAGAAATCTACCATCATTTGGCCGGGCGCAGTGGCTCACGCCTGTAATCCCAGCACTTTGGGAGGCCGAGGCGGGCAGATCACGAGGTCAGGAGATCGAGACCATCCTGGCTAACACGGTGAAACCCCGTCTCTACTAAAAAATACAAAAAATTGGCCAGGCGCCGTGGCTCACGCCTGTAATCCCAACACTTTGGGAGGCCGAGGTGGGCGGATCACGAGGTCGGGAGATCGAGACCATCCTGGCTAACACGGTGAAACCCTGTCTCTACTAAAAAATACAAAAAATTAGCCGGGCATGGCGGCGGGCACCTGTAGTCCCAGCTGCTCGGGAGGCTGAGGCAGGAGAATGGCGTGAACCTGGGAGGCGGAGCTTGCAGTGAGCCGAAATTGCGCCACTGCACTCCAGAGTGGGCGACAGAGACTCCGTTTCAAAAAAAAAAATACAAAAAATTAGCCGGGCCTGGTGGTAGGCGCCTGTAGTCCCAGCTACTCGGGAGGCTGAGGCAGGAGAATGGCATGAACCCGGGAGGCGGAGCTTGCAGTGAACTGAGATCGCACCACTGTACTCCAGCCTGAGCGACAGACTCCGTCTCAAAAAAAAAAAAAAAAAATTAGCCGGGTGTGGTGGTGGGCACCTGTAGTCCCAGCTACTCGGGAGACTGAGGCAGGAGAATGGCGTGAACCCAGGAGGCGGAGCTTGCAGTGAGCCGAGATCATGCCACTGCACTCCAGCCTGGGCGACAGAGCAAGACTCCATCTCAAAAAAAAAAAAAAGAAAAAAAAAGAAATCTACCACCATTCTTATTGTCTTTTCCCTACAGGTAAGTTGTCCTTTTTCTCTGATTGCTCTCAAGATTTTTTTCTTTGTGTTGAGTTTCCAGAAGTTTAATTATGATGTGTCTTGGCATGGATTGCTTTGGGTTAATCATGTTGGGCTTCACTTGGCTTCCTGAATCTATCATTTGATTTTTTTTTTTAACTTTAAAAAAAAAGTTTTTGAGACAGGGTCTCACTCTGTTGCCCAGGCTGGAGTGCAGTGGCTCAATCACGGCTCACTGAAGCCTCAACCTCCCGGGCTCAAGCTATCCTCCCACCTCAGCCTCCCAAGTAGCTGAGATCACAGGCACGTGCTACCACATCTGGTGAATTTTTGTAGAAATGGGGTTTCACCGTGACACCCAGGCTGGTCTTGAACTCCCGGGGTAAAGTGATCTGCCCACCTCAGCCTCAGGCGTGAGCAACTGTGCTCAGCCTCATTTAACTTTTTTAGAGCCCAAAACAAGCATGTGGATATAAATCTCTAAAAACTTGCCTTCTGTAGCCAAGTGTAGACACTCAGGGCCCTAATCACTCCTTTGCCTGTGTGCCAAGACAGATTCCAAAACTCTTCCTGAGGGGATCCCCTTGTTCCCCTTCTGGGTGAAGATGGCATCTATGTCCACATGTGTTCTGGTTAGGCAACTCATCTTTTCTGGAGGATTTTAATACTTCCCTCCCTCAGCAGGCTGTTAAGCCAGGTGACACCATACATCACCAGTGATTCAGAGAAGCACTACTTCAAGTCCTTTTCAGAGAAAATAACCTCAAACTCATCACAACACCTACCAGAAACCTGAGAAAAATCCTGATTCCTTTTTTTTTTTTTTTTTTTTTGAGATAGAGTCTCACTCTGTCGCCCAGGTTGAAGTGCAATGCCACAATCTCAGCTAACTGCAACCTCTGCCTCCCAGGTTCAAGCGATTCTTGTGCCTCGGCCTCCCAGGTTGCTGGGACCACAGGTGTGCCACCACATCCGACTAATTTTTATATTTTTAGTAGAGAGGGGGTTTCACCATGATGGCCAGGCTGGTCTCAAACTCCTGGCCTCAAGTGATCTTCCCACCTCACCCTCCCAAAGTGCTGGGATTACAGGCGTGAGCCACCACGCCTGGCCAATCCTGATTCTGAAGGTGGGCTGAACATACACTTCATTCGTGCTACTCAAGTACTGCTACTTCACATATTTAATCCCTCTGTGATAAAGACTCTCATGCCCACCTTTAAGATGATCTGAAATTTCAAAGCAAATCAGTAACAATTTTGGCATGGCATCTAACCACCAATTAAGAATCACAGCTCTTACAAATGCCAAATACCACCCAGAGCTGAGGAAGAGTTCGCAGAACAACACTATTTTGGTTCTCCACTGGTTAAGACTTTGTTCTAAATTACTTTCAGTGGGCATCATATTTTACATTAGAACTCCTAGGAGGAACAGCCCAGTGAAACTCACTGTGGAGTTCATGGACGATCCTGGTCTTCCTTACTATACTGTGCCCTCTTCCTGAGGGCTGTAGGAAATCTCAGATTCCAGGACCACGTGTGATTCTACTTCTTCAGAGCCACAGGCTGCTGCTAACCTTGACCACACTGAGTATGCAAATGATTTTCACGTCTCATTCTGCCTGGTTCTAAAAAGGCCCAGAGCCACGCCCAACTCCCAGCAATGTTCACCAAATAAAAGCTGAGTACGAGCTCCCTCTTCAACTTGAACATTTCCTCTTTATCCAGTTTTTCCTAACCACTCCGTTTTCATTTGCTTTAGTCATTTGGGCCCAGTGTACTTATGGTAAGCTTCCTTGCATCCTTTCTGGAACAGGGCGGGGGTATAAACAAACCAGAACTTTCTATGTGTTGCCCAAAGAAAGGTAACGAGACAGAGCATGGACTGATCCAATTGGAACACTAAGTTCCTATGCTGGGCTAGATTCTATGTTAAGAGAAACAGCAGCCGGGCGCGGTGGCTCACGCCTGTAATCCCAGCACTTTGGGAGGCCAAGGCGGGCGGATCACCTGAGGTCAGGAGTTTGAGACCAGCTTGACCAATATGGTGAAATCCCGTCTCCACTAAAAATACAAAATTAGCCAGGCATGGTGGCGCATGCCTGTAATCCCAGCTACTCGGGAGGCTGAGGCAGGAGAATCACTTGAACCTGGGAGGCGGAAGTTGTGGTGAGCTGAGATCACGCCATTGCACACCAGCCTGGGCAACAAGAGTGAAACTCCATCTCAAAAAAAAGAAGAAAAACGGCAATGAAAAACAAGGCCCCTGACCTTAAAGGGTTGAAATGGAGAGGGAGAGAAAAGAATTAACAAATAACTATGATGTGGGCCAGCAGAGATAAACGGGGAGCTTGGCAGAGATAACAGGCATTGTGCAGCACTGGTGGCCTGGTCCCCATGGGCTGTCCTGTCCCTGTTCTGGGGCATGACCAGTGAACTGTACCTGTCCCCATCTACACTCAATACAACCTCCCGGAGTCTCTTGCCAGTGTCCTCCCTCACCCATGTCTCCTCCCACTGGCGTCCCCCCTCACCAGCTGACCTGTGGGACCTACGGGACAAGCACCCGGCACATGGCTCTCAGGCCTTCTTCTCAGGGCTGAGCAGAGGCCTTCGGACTCAGGCCTGGCACTGGTGTGAGCAAGTGGTAGGCCTAGCACTCAGGCCTACCATGCTGAGCGCCTGGGGATGACCAAAGGAAGCAGCCTAATCCTTCAGAAAGCTCAAGGCAGCCACATATCAACAACCACTCATACTCTCCTCCCTTAGGAAATCCCTTCTGAGAGAAAAATGCTGCAACTACGTTATCTGCTGTGGAGCCGTCTACAGCAGGGGGAGTTTTAGCAAACAAAGGCGCCTTGACCCAGGAGAAAATGCTGCATTGTTTGAAGATTAAAGAAATCAGAAAGAGGCTGGGTGCAGTGGCTCACGCCTGTAATCCCAGCAGTGTGAGAGGCCACGGCAGGCGGATCACCTGAGGTCAGTTCAAGACCAGCCTGGCTAACATGGTGAAACCCTATCTCTACTAAAAATACAAAAATTAGCCAGGCATGGTGGCACGCGCCTGTAGTTCCAGCTACTCAGGAGGCTGAGGCACGAGAATCGCTTGAACTTAGGAGGCGGAGGTTGCAGTGAGCCGAGATCGTGCCACCGCACTCCAGCCTGGGCGACAGAGTGAGACTCCATCTCCCCTCCCAAAAAAAAGAGAAACCAGAAAGATACTTATGATAAGTGAAGAAAAATAAAACGATACTTGCTCTATAGTGACAACTATGTTAAATATGTTTGCATGTGGAATTGACAGAAAAGGTAAAACTGAAAACATTATTCAGGTGGTGAGATTCTGATGATTTTAAACATTTACTCATTTAAAAATGGTAACGCTTGGCACAGTGGTGCACACCTGTATTCCTAGCTATTTGGGAGGCTGTGGCAGGAGGACTGCTTGAGCCCAGGCAGTTCAAGATTACAGTGAGCTATGAGAGTATCACTGTACTCCAGCCTGGGCAACAGAGTGGGACTCTGTCTCTTAAAAAAAAAAATAAGTAAAATAAAGATGATATTCACTGCATTTTGTCTGAATATAAATAGTATGTTCATTATAAAAATTCAGCAGGATACAGACACTAAGTAAAAAAAAAACTGGTATGCAACAAGATCTAAAAAAACAGTAATCATAAAATAAAATAATAAAAATACATTCTAACAGACTTAAAAATAGAGAAAACAATAAATGCATGCATGATCCACCCTCCCAGATGGGATAAGCAGTCTAGACACCTGGGATGCATATCCTTCTAACCTTTCTGTCTACATTTGCACAAAGACCGAGTTCTGTCCAGGCTTTGGAAGCCCAGGAAGAGCCAGAAGAGATGGCATCTGACCCAGGACTTACAGAGTGAGGATGTCTAGAGATGACCAGTTAGAGGAGGAGAGAGGCACGGGGCACACATGCAGCCTCACACAGCAGAAGCAGAGTGGTGGACAGGACCCAAGGCAGGTGTGTGCAGGGCTCGGGGGCTGAACTAGGTCTGACTGGCATTGTCATCATCATCCATGCTATGCAGATCAGCCGCCTCCCATGCCAGGCCTCTTGGGCCACCCAACCTCAGTATGGGGAAAGAGTCCAAAGTTCACAGGCCCAATCCACAGTGAACAGCAACAGAACCAGGACTGAACCCAGAGCCCACACCCTCCAAAACTATGCCCCGATGTCCTGCGTGTCAGGTCCAGAATCTGCCTGACAGGCAGCTGGCAGGAAACGGGACTGTTCCCACGTAACACACAGGGGTTGGGGCCAGGCCCAGCCAAGCCCGACTGCCTTGTACCATTCATGTTCCAGGTGAAGGCGTCTCGCAGCTTCTGCCCATCGATCTCCATGTCCAGCCGGATGGGGACCAGCACCTCGGGCTGAGATGCGTTCTCATGGATCACAGCTGGGTCATGGTCATCAAAGCTGAAAGTGAAATGGAAGCAACAGTCAGCGAGGGGGCCGGAGCCCTAGGTATGCAAATTTTCAGCCTCTCTCTCTGCACAGCAGGCTTCTGCAAACCCATCTGGGGAAGATGGCCGCTTGTCAGCTAACAGCTGAGGCAGCAGACGAGGCTAGCAGGGGTCCCGGGGCCACGGTCTAATGGGGACAGTTGGGGCCATAAATAACAAGCACCAGTCTGTCTGCAATAGAATCGACCTGGGCAGTGTTGGAACAACACCCAGACATCCTGTGAAGGGATATTTAAGCCTGAAATTTGGCAGGACTTTCATGGAAGGCTATGGGAAAGGAGAAGGGCATTTCCAGAAGAGGAAATATTCTAGCAAGGCCAAGGCAGGTGAATGGAGGAACTGCTGAGGACGTACAAACAGACCACAGAGCACAGATTCCGTGAGGAGCAGTGGTCAGGGATGCTGCAAAGCTAGCGGGTGTCGAAGCACCCACAGTTCTTCCCTCAGGCTATGCAAACTGGCCACTGCCCTGAGGGAGTCCCAGGAGGATTCCAAGCAATGGAGTACTTTGGGAAGATAAAGAGGGAAGAGTCCGGCAGGCAGGTTGGTGAAATGGAGCTGGAGGACACAGGACACCTAAGGGCGTCTGGGAGCATGGAGAGGGCTGCGAAAGGCCCCCAGTGACCTTGGGAGGTAGATGGAAGACAGAGAAAAGTGAGCTGAGTGCCAGGCATGAATGCGCTGGGAAACAGACAGGGAAAGGGGCAGGGATGCTGCAGAAAAGGGGTGGCCACTCTAAGGGAGAAGGGGACAGTCAACTAGGGATGGGAAGAGGAGATAGAGGGAAGGAAGACAGAAGGAAAAGGAGGAGGGGGTAGGATGGGAGGGAGGGAAGGAGGAATGATGGAAGGAAGGAAGGAGGAAAGGAAAGAGGGGAGGAGGGAGAACGGGGCTAAACCTCAGCAGAGGCAACTGCAGGGCAGGAGCTCTGGGAGGTCTGACAGCAATGAGGACGTTCTCAGGCCTGAGGCAGGGTGAGTGGGGCAGAGTGCAGCGGTGGCAGCACCAGGCCAGGTTGGGCCTGGCACCCCAGTGAGAACTCCTGCTTCTGCTCCGAGGGTGATGGGGAGCCTGGAGGATTCTGCGTGGAGAGGTGACATGATCTGCCTGGAGCAGAGGCCACACCAGCTGCAGAGCTGAGAAGGCAGCAGGGAGGGGAGGTAGGGGCTGCTAGAGACCCCAGGGAGAGCAGTGGGGGGCTGTCTGAGGCAGTCCCAGGGGAGAACCTGGAGAGACTGGACTTGCTGTGTGAGGAAAAGGCAGGCCTTGGGAAAGAAACCTACAGCCTGAGCAAGGAGAGGGCTGGATCTCCACGCGCCGAGATGGAGAGGTCTTCAGGCAGCATGAGGCTGAGGGGGTGAGGGCAGCTGAGGAAGTCTGGGCCACAGAGGTAAAAAACAGACCCCGAAGACATCTACAACTTAATCCCCAAAACCTGTGACTGTCAGCTCATATGGCCAAAAAAGGAGACTTTGAAGATACGATTAAGTGAAAGATCCTGAGAGATTAACCAGAAGGGCCCTAAATTACATCGCCAAGTGTCCTTCTAAGAGAGAGACAGGGAAGTTTCATGCAGAGAAGGCCACGTGACCACAGAGGCTGAGACTGGAACGTGGCAGCCCCCAAAGCTGGAAGAAGCAAGGACCGAATCGCCTCGATGGCCTCTGGAGGGAGCATGGCCCTGTCCACACATGAGTCTGGTCTAGTGAAACTAAATCCAGGCTCCTGGGCCCCAGAACTGTGAGGGAAGAAATGTGCTCTGCTCGAAGCCACCAGTTTGTGGTGGTTTACTCCAGCAGGCTCTGGGAAATGGTGGCACAGTGGGAGTCACGTGGATGGCATCTGCACCATCAGACTGGCTGTGGCCCACTCATGTGAAACTGAGGGCAGAGAAAGGGCCCAAGGACCGCGCCCTGAGTAACTCCACTTGAGGGGCCAGAGAGGTGAGGAGGACATGGCAAGGTGACAGCAGACAGAGCCAAGGAGGCTATGGACAATGTCCTGGAAGTCAGGGAAACACAACAGTTCAAAGGCGAGGAGGTACTGTGGCGTTGTGGGGAGCACAAGGTCAAAGCAGAGTGTTTTTCTGGGGAGGAAGGAACTGAAACGTGCTGGAGAACTAAGGCGGAATCAGCACGGAGGGTGAGTGCAGCGATGCATCCACACCAAAGGGGGAAGGTTCTCTTCTTGTCTCGGCCCATGCGGTTCCTGTTGATGGTTGTGGAGCATGGCACGGCATCTAAGTGGTGGGAGCTGTTGGGCAGGGTGGGTACCCACTGGCTGTTCCTCTTGGCCTTCTGTTCCCTGAGGAGATACAAGAAAAGTCCTCCCAGTCAGTATAGGAGCCTGATCCTGCCCACCAGGAATCAACTAATGCTCCAGGGATGCCCACTGTACCTCTGTCAGGCTCGAGGCTCCCATGGGAGTTGTCTGTGCACCTGACTTTGCAGGAGCCTGCTCCCCAGGCTGTCATCAGATGCTAGAGGCACCTGGGCAAGGGCAAGGGTACGTAGGGGCACCAGACACAGCACGGCCATGGTGTACTGCACTATGAGCCAGGCATGGCTCCACGGAAGCACTTCCTGGATGCGGGGAAGTGGTACAAGGGGGAGACTTCCCAGAGGAGTGGATAATAGAGCACAGCCTTAGACACTGAGTCAGGGTTCACTGCGGGGAGGGGCACGGGCAGCAGCAAGGAGGAGAGACTGAGGGGCAGTCCAGGGAGGAGGTCCCCAGGGAGGGGACCGATCACAGGTCTCACATGCTCCGTGAGATGACTTTACTCAGCAGGTGGCTGGGAGTCCCCAGGGTTTTGAAGGAAGAGACATGATCAGGCTGTCATTTTAGACATACCAGCCATCCTGAGATGGACTAGGCAAGGCCTCTGGCCTCTCAGCTTCCACAGCAGTAGAAGTTGAGAAGATGGGTTGATAAATACCTTCCAGAGGTGACATCCAAGGTAATTTAAATAACCCATGTCCCATGAAGCGTTTGATCTTTTCTCCCAAATTCCAGGTTGCTTTTACCAAAAGCACCAGGTGCAGTGGCTCATGCCTGTAGCTCCAGCACTTTGGAAGGTCAAGATGGGCAGACCACCTGAGGTCAAGAGTTCGAAACCAGGCCAGGTGCGGTGGCTCACGCCTGTAATCCCAGCACTTTGGGAGGCCAAGGCGGATGGATCACCTGAGGTCAGGAGATCAAGACCAGCCTGGCCAACATGGTGAAACCCTGTCTCTACTAAAAATACTAAAATTAGCCAGGTGTAGCCGGGCGCGGTGGCTCACGCCTGTAATCCCAGCACTTTGGGAGGCCGACGCGGGCAGATCACGAGGTCAGGAGATCAAGACCAGCCTGGCCAACATGGTGAAAGCCCGTCTCTACTAAAAATACAAAAAATTAGCCGGGCGTGGTGGCAGGCGCCTGCAGTCCCAGCTACTCAGGAGGCTGAGGCAGGAGAATGGCGTGAACCCGGGAGGCAGAGCTTGCAGTGAGCCAACATTGCGCCACTGCACTCCAGAGTGGGAGACAGAGCAAGACTCCGTCTCAAAAAAAAAAAAAAAAAAAAAAATTAGCCAGGTGTGATGGCAGGAACCTGTAATCTCAGCTACTCAGGAGGCAGAGGCAGGAGAATCACTTGAACCCAGGAGGCAGAAGTTGCAGTGAGCCGAGATTACACCATTGCAGTCCAGCCTGGGCAACAAGAGCGAAACTCCATCTCAAAAAAAAAAAAAAAAACCAAAAGGTGAGTTCGAAACCAGCCTGGCCAACATGGTGAAACCTCAACCCTACCAAAAATACAAAAGTTAGCCAGGCGTGGTGGCACACGTCTATAATCCAGCTACTCAGGAGGCTGAAGCATGAGAATCACTTGAACCCAGGAGGCGGAGGTTGCAGTGAGCCGGGATCAACCACTGCACTCCAGCCTGGGCGAGAGAGCAACATCCTATCTCGAAAAAAAAAAAAAAATACCAAAAGCTGTTTTAAACTAAGGCTCCAGGGCTGGGTGAAACAGATGAGAGCATTTGGGTGCCCGTTGTGCTCTGTGCTTTTCCATTTTCCCTGGCAAGGCTGTGAGCAGGAGCAGGCAGCGACTGTGTGTCACTTCCCTGTGTAACCCCAACACCTGCGCAACCACTTCCACAATAACTATTCAACCATTCAGAGCAAGTCATGACAAACTTTTTTTTTTTTTTTTTTTGAGATGGAGTCTCGCTCTGTCGCCTGGGCTGGAGTACAGTGGCGCCATCTGGGCTCAATGCAAGGTCTGCCTCCCGGGTTCACGCCATTCTCCTGCCTCAGCCTCCCGAGTAGCTGGGACTACAGGCGCCCACCACCACGCCCGGCTAAGTTTTTTGATTTTTAGTAGAGACGGGGTTTCACCCTGTTAGCCAGGATGGTCTCGATCTCCTGACCTTGTGATCCGCCCGCCTCGGCCTCCCAAAGTGCTGGGATTACAAGCGTCAGTCACCGCGCCCGGCCGACAAACGTTTGACAGTTCCCTCTAAGGAGGGACCCGGGAAGACAGCACAAAGGTCCTTCTCCTTTCCAGAGGGTGGGGGAGGGCAGAAGCAATGGCCAAGACCTGCCTGGACTCTGGGCCCTTTAACTCTTTTCCCTTCTAAAGTGGGAATCACTTACACGTCTGATGCTGAGGCTGGGACTACCCCTTGATCGCTGGTAGGGGTAGGGAGGATTTTGTAGTACCCAATTTGGGGAACATGGAATCAGCTTGGGCAGAGACTATGAGAGGGGACAGCAAGACAGGGGTCCCCTCTACAACCTATCTGGGTCATAGTTCCTAATCCTGGCCGCTCAGAGTGCAATTTTTAAATTTTTTTATTTTTATAGAGATGGTGGGGTCTCACTATGTTGCCCAGGCTGGTCTCAAACTCCTGGGCTCAAGCAATCCTCCCACCTTGGCCTCCCAAAGTGCTGAGAGTACAGGTGTGAGCTACAACACCCAAACCCAGAATGCAAAATTTTAAGAAGCACATTCCTGAGCCCCACCCAGGTGGAGTGACTTCCCACCTCTGAGGAAGGGCCCAAGAAGATGTGTTCTTTGCAGCTTCCACGGGTGATTTCCAGGTAGCTGAGCCTGTATTTGCAAACCACAGATCTTGACCACCTCCTCTTTTCTGACTGGATACGTTAGAGCCTGGGCTGAGCCCCTGCCCCCTCATCCTGCCCTATCTCAGTAGCAAGTTCTCATTTCCAGGTCTAGCTATCAACTCAAGTGGACAATGCAAGTGTCACTAGACACAGTGAATGTGAGTAACATGCTCAGCCATACACAGAATCTGCAAATCTAAGCCATAAAATTCAACCTTCTGGCCAGGTGTGGTGGTTCACACCTGTAACCCCGACACTTTGGGAGGCCGAGGCGGACGGATCACCTGAGGTCAGGAGTTCGAGACCAGCCTGGCCAACATGGTGAAACCCCGTCTCTACTAAAACTACGAAAAATTAGCTAGGTGTGGTGCCTGGTGCCTATAATCCCAGCTACTTGGGAGGCTGAGGAAGGAGAATGACTTGAACCCGGGAAGGGGAGGTTGCAGTGAGCTGAGATCCCGCCACTTCACTCCAGCCTGGGTGACAGAGCGAAACTCGATCTCAAAAAAAAAAAAAAAAAAAAAAAAAAGGCCAGGCGCAGTGGCTCATGTCTGTAATCCCAGCACTTTGGGAGGCCGAGGTGGGCGGATCACAAGGTCAGGAAATCGAGACCATCCTGGCTAACACAATAAAACTCCATCTCTACTAAAAATACAAAAAAAATTAGACGGGCGTGGTGACAGACACCTGTAGTTCCAGCTACTCGGGAGGCTGAGGCAGGAGAATGGTGTGAACCTGGGAGGCGGAGCTTGCAGTGAGCCAAGATGGCGCCACTGCACTCCAGCCTGGGCGACAGAGCGAAACTCCGTCTCAAAAAAAATAATAATAATAAAAAAAAACAGGCCAGGCCCGGTGGCTCACGCCTGTAATCCCAGCACTTTGGGAGGCCGAGGCGGGCGGATCACGAGGTCAGGAGATCAAGACCATCCTGGCTAACACGGTGAAACCCCGTCTCTACTAAAAACACAAAAAATTAGCCGGGCGAGGTGGCGGGCGCCTGTAGTCCCAGCTACTCGGGAGGCTGAGGCAGGAGAATGGCGTGAACCCCAGGGGGCGGAGCCTGCAGTGAGCCGAGATTGCGCCACTGCACTCCAGCCTGGGCGACAGCGAGACTCCGTCTCAAAAAAAAAAAAAAAAAGAAAAACAACCTTCCTTCCATTGCAATCCCAGCATCCCTGAGAGAGGGCACCCAGCCTCTGCTCAAATTGTCCGATGACAGGATGGGGAGGGTGCCATAAGTCCCCTTATTGGGCTGACTGAGTAGTGTGGAGCCAGCCAAAGCCACTTCCCTCAAACCTCTGCCAGCCCCCACCCCTAAAGACTTGACCTCCAGGGCAACGGGATTCCACTCCTGCAGCTGTTCCTCACGACATGATCACCAAGAAACTGTTTTATCGCCCCATAAAAGATTCCCAGCTGACATGTGCAGAATTAAAGTGCCCTCCATATGTACACAATTTCCTTCTGCAACTTCCCTGGGAAGGCCAAGCCATCCTTATGTTCTTACCACATCCCTTGGGGGAAAAAGAATCTGCAAAGCACACGTCTGTAACACTGGCCAGCCTGGAGGCGTGCCACCTTTCAGGGGAATCATAAAAAAGATTTTCCATAACCACATCACTCTGAACAATAATCCTTTTTCTTAATGCTCCTTGGGCTTTGTGCAGAGAAATGCATACTTTGTTGAGAGCTGAATGCACAAGGTAGATGGGTACAATCTTGTATTCTGCACGTCTCACCCACAGGACCCGTCTCGGGTCACTGCAGAATCTACTTAATTATACCATGTATGGGTCACACCTTTGTCCATTCAAGTGGCTGACCCGTCACTAACCTAGCCTTTCCTTAAAGGCTGGATACTTAAGCGACTCCATATTCTCCAGTATTATTCACAATGCTACAGAGAATCTCTGTACATATAGTGGGTTTACTGATTCATTTTGTTCTTTGAAAATGTTTCTTTGGGACAAATTCCCAGGGGCGGTATTAATGGGCCAGAGAACAAAAAAGTTTGATGTCAGGATGCTTTACAGAAAGGGCACTCCCGGCTGGGCACAGTGGCTCACACCTGTAATCCCACCACTTTGGGAGGCCGAGGCGGGAGGATTACCTGAGGTCAGGAGTTCGAGACCAGCCTGGGCACAATGGTGAAACCCCGTCTCTAATAAAAATACAAAAAAATTAGCCAGGCATAGTGGTGCATTCCAGTAATCCCAGCTACTCCAGAGGCTGAGGCAAGAGAATCGCTTGAACCCAGGAGGCGGAGGTTGCAGTGAGCCGACATCATGCCACCGTACTCCAGCCTGGGCAACAAGAGTGAAAACTCCATCTCAAAAAAAAAAAAAAAAAGCACCTCCAGCACACATGAGTGCAGTTCTATCACACCTTCCCCAATTCCTTATGTTGCCAGTTTTTTGTTTTATGCTTGGAATTTTTATTTTTATTTTTTATTTATTTATTTTTTATTTTATTTTATTATTTTGAGATGGAGTTTCACTCTCGTTGCCCAGGCTGGAGAGCAATGGCGCAACCTCGGCTCACCGCAACCTCCGCCTCCCGGGTCCAAGTGATTCTCCTGCCTCAGCCTTCCTGAGTAGCTGGGATTACAGGCATGCACCACCATGCGAGGCTAACTTTGTACGTTTAGCAGAGATGAGGCTTCACCATGTTGGTCAGGCTGGTCTCGAACTCCTGACCTCAGGTGATCCGCCCGCCTCGGCCTCCCAAAGTGCTGGGATTACAGGCGTGAGCCACCGTGCCCGGCCTGTTTTTTATTTTTTTTAAGAGACAAAGAGTGTCGTTCTGTTACCTAGGCTAGAGGACAGTGGTGTGATCACCACACTCAGCTAATTTTTTTAACTTTCAGTAGAGATAACGTCTCACTATGTTGCTCAGGCTGGTCTCCTGGGCAACACAGTCAAATCGTGGGCTCAAGCGATCCTCCTGCCTTGACTTCCCAAAGTGCTGAGATTACAGGCATAAGCTACCATGCCCAGTCTTATGCTTGGAATTTTTGAAATTACACATGAGGGCAAATTCTTTCCATGTTTGTTTACTCCCTTGTACTTCAAGGTATGGACCATCTTTTACCTATTTGTTGGGGTATCCAAGTTTGTTGTATAAATCTAGATGTATAGATTCTAGATACAACATCGTAACTTCCCAATTACTTGGTTTTTTAATTGTTACTATAAATACTCTTCTAAAGGTTCTAAGTTTTGTTTTGTTTTTGTTTTTTTTGAGGTGGAGTTTCACTCTTGTTGCCCAGTCTGGAGTGCAAAGGTGCAACCTCAGCTCACTGCAATCTCCACCTCCCGGGTTCAAGCAATTCTCCTGCCTCAGGCTCCCGAGTAGCTGGGATTACAGGCATGTGCCACCACACCTGGCTAATTTTGTATTTTTAGTAGAGATGGGGTTTCTCCATGTGGATGAGGCTGCTCTCTAACTCCTGACCTCAGGTGATCTGCCCACCTCGGCCTCCCAAACTGCTGGGATTACAGGTGTGAGCCACCGTGCCCAGCCAGGTTCTAAGTTTTTATACATTCAAATCTATTGTTGTTTCTTTTGTGAGTTTATGTGAGCCACTGATTTTTCTGACAAATTGGTCCCACTTACATGTTTTTTTAAGAAATGAGGTCTTGCTGTGTTGCCCCAGGCTGGTCTTAAACTCCTGGCCTCAAGCAATGCCTCGGCCTCCCAAAGCGCTGGGATTACAAACATAAGCCACTGTGCCCCACGAGTCCCACTTTCCAAGCATTTGTAACTGTTCTCCGGAATCCAGGACTTGGCTTACGTTTCTTAGAAATTCCAATGATATAGAAGAAACTTAGAAACCTGGCTAAGAAAATGTATAAAAACAGAGGGAACTGTTAAAAAGTGTTTCAATACAAAAATCAGGACCGGGCGCGGTGGCTCACGCCTGTAATCCCAGCACTCTGGGATGCCAAGGCGGGCGGATCACCTGAGGTGGGGTTTCGAGACCAGCCTGACCAACATGGAGAGACTCGTCTCTACCAAAAATACAAAATTAGCTGGGCGTGGTGGCGCATGCCTGTAATCCCAGCTATCTGGGAGGCTGAGGCAGGAGAATCACTTGAACCCAGTAGGCAGAAGTTGCAGTGAGCTGAGATCACGCCATTGCACTCCATCCTGGGCAACAAGAGTGAAACTCTGTCTCAAAGAAAAAAAAACTAGCCAGGTATAGTGGCAGGCACCTGTAATCCCAGCTACTTGGGAGGTTGAGGCAGGAGAATCGCTTGAACCTGGGAGGCAGAGGTTGCAGTGAGCCAAGATCGTGCCACTGCACTCCAGCCTGGGCGACAAGAACAAGATTCCATCTCAAAAAAAAAAAAAAAAAGTGTTTCAATTTAACTTCAACCCAACCAGTTCTTGAGTCTCAGAAAAGACCCCACAGGTGTCCCCAGAGATGCCCTGGCCAGGAACGCATTACCTGAGGTAGGTGGGGGGCTCTGTGCTGATGGACACAGCCTTGTACTTCTCATCGTTGCCATCCAGAATCTCTTCCACTTCCGAGGCTTTTAACAGGGTCACACTGGTGGCTAGAGTCGTGTATCCGTGATCTGTAACAGACAAACATCACTGGGTCACTCTGCTGGTGGCGGTGGCACACAGCAGCCAGCCAAGTGGATGCAGCACATCAAGGTCCTCGCATGCGGGAGGTGGGAAAAGCAAGGTGTCAAACTTACTACTGCTGAATGCTGGCCTCTTCCAAAAGGGCAATCTGGACTGAGTGCTTTACTTACAAGTCCTGCTGGGTAGAGCCTCCAATGGGACTGATTTGGACTAATCTGCCCCAGGAGCACTGGCTCGGGGCAGAGGGAAGTGCTCAGGGCAGCACCAGCAACTACAATACAGCACGACCAGCGGGGACACTCGACTCCAGAACATATTCTCTTGGTCCTCACTCAGGGGAAAAGAAAGCTCCCAGAGTAACACCCCAGTGGGAAGAGGTCTGACACCACCACAATCCACAACACGATGCAAGGTGGGGAGATGGAATGGAAGATGAAGAATACTTTTCTTTTAAAACAAGAGCCCAGAGAGTTGGAAAGAGCTGCTTCACACCAAACACGAATTTCTATCCCCGAGCCGGTCCACACGTGCTGCCTGGGAAGCAGGACAGATTCTAGGCAGCTCGACCCCTAGCTCTTCCGGGGAATCTCCGTCAAGAGCTACCTGTCTGTGGGCCCAGTCTGGCTTCTCCTGGAGAAATCAATCGCTTATGGGGAAGGTATCTCCCAAGACTTAGCCCAGGGACTTGCGGAGGGGGAAGCAAAGCTGGGGACTCACTGTGTTAGCGACTGATGCTCTGCTAGGGGAGGAGGGGGAACAAAAAGGAAACTGTTTTAAGCAAGTGAGTGGAAATGTCATAGCAGCAGATCAAAAAGAAGCTCCGGCTCCTGCATTAAAAGAACCACTACTTTCCCGCAGTGGACAAAACCACAGCAGCACCTACAGACACAAACAAACAGGGCAGACTACGAAGCATCGCGCACATGCTCACAGACACACCCAGGCCCAGGGCAGCTCTCTACAAGGCGCCATTGCCACGTGGGAAGCAGTTTTGCCACCTGCCCAAGGACATGCTGTGTCCACACCCAAATGTCTCCATGGGAGTGTCTCCCACAGAGCCCCCAGAGTGTCTGAAGAGCACCCTTTCACCCTGCACAGAGCTGCCGTGACCCAAAGCCCACTAGTTTCACTAGTGTACCTAGCAAGCCCCAGGCACACGCAGGCCACCAGGAGCAGGGACATGCACATGGGCTCTAGCACACTGGCTGCCAGGATGAAGTGCTATGGGATGGATGTGCTCCAGGAAGCAAGCAGTGAAAGCCCCAGAGGGGAGTGGGAGCTGGGACCACCACCCGCCACTTGGGCTGCATGGAAGATGATTATGGCGACACACCCACGACAGATGGCAGAGCATCGCAGCATTCCTAAAACGTTTTGAGACCAACATGTCTTCACAGCACCTGCTAGTGTCCTGGCCCCGGCCCGCTCACATACCCAATGGCCCTGCTGGAAATAACTGACAGTGGACCACCAATGGCTCCCTGGAGCCACTTCCTTGCCTGGAGTGCTCACAGGGCGGCCCACCCCGGGATGCTCCCTGCCCGACTAAGGCCAAGGCTGCAGTGAAGACACTCTGGAGTGAAAACGTTTTATCTTCATGACATAAGCGAGTGGTTTTGAAACAGGTTTACAAACCCTCGTGAAGACGCACCCTTAGTGTTAGGTTTTGTTTTTTTACCATGTGACGATGCAACTATTTTCTTCCTCTCTTCCACAGTGGCTAGTCGCCTCCAGAGTGAGGGGTATCTCTTGTACAGAGAACCTCGGAACATACGGAGGTAGTTTCCCACCTATGAGTAAAGCAAGAAGGCTCATTATAAGGGTCGCAGCACCACAGGGAAGGGGAGGGTCCTGGCGCAGACTGCATCAAGCAACAGACAAACAGGCCTTGAGGTGGCCCCCAGGCGCCACGCTTTCGGCAGCATTAAAACACATTCTGCTGATATGAAGGGTTCACCAGCAGTGCACATCTGGCCTGCATATGTGCATCCTGACAACAGAACCAAGTTCCGAAAGGCCTGGGCAGATGCCTGAGTGGGAGGCCCCCAGAGCTTAGCAAGAAGTTCGTGGTGATTTTGATTTTGGACTAAGGATCTCTGGCACTTTCCAGAAATGCAAGGCCTCCTTGACCTTCTTTTATCTTAAGGACAAGACTTTGATATCTTTACAATGTAATAAACACCAAAAAGGTCTTTTAATTTTAGACAGATGCCAGATAATTTCCCCCATGGCCTGTGTTGCTTTGTTTAGTAACAAAACCCAAACCAGGGATACCAAAGGAATTTTCCAAAAGGTTTACAAGGCAATCACCAGACTGCTATATAAATCATCACTGACTCAAACAATGGCTTCAGTTTGCTTGTAGCAAATACTGAAAGTGTGACTTCCTTAAGGAAAATAAATCTAGACCTAAAGTTTTTATGAGGGTACCCTATTGTCTCGTTGACTTTTCAAGTATGATCACTTCGGAGTCACATTGCAGGGGATGGCCAATAGACTGGGTGCCAGGTGCTGGCTCCATCTGTAACCTGGGATCACTTCCCATTTTCTGGGTACCCTTTACTCATCTGCCAAATGCTCAGCAACTCTGAACTTCACCCCCATGAAGGACCACTTCTATTATGTTTCCCATTTTATCTACGCAACATAGTATATATTTTGCATTTTTAAATTTATTTTTAATTTTTATTATTATTTTTGAGACAGGGTCTCGCTCTGTCACCCAGGCTCGATTGCAGTGGTGCGATCGATCATAGCTCACTGCAGCCTCGAACTCCTCGGCTCAAGCGATCCTCCTGCCTCAGCCTCCTGAGTAGCTGGGACTATAGTTGCTTGCCACCACAACCGGCTAATTTTTGTATTTTTTGTAGAGACGGAGTTTCACCATGTTGCCCAGGCTGGTCTCAAACTCCTGGGCTCAAGCGATCTGCCCACCTCGGCCTCCCAAAGTGCTGGGATTACGGGTGTGAGCCACATACCCGGCCTAATTAAAAAAAATAAAAATAAAAATCTGTAGAGACAAGAGTCTCACTATGTTGCCCAGGCTGGTCTTAAACTCCTGGGTTCAAGTGATTCTCCTGCCTGGGCCTCCCAAAGTGCTAGGATTATAGGTGTGAGACCCAGGCATAGTATTAAATAAAATGTTTCTCCATTTTCAGCAGTGACTGTAATCAACAACCAGGGCTACTGAACGCTGAGAGAAGAGCAGACACAGCAAGTCACTCGCTTTCCACATAGAGGGCACAGACCCCTCTATGTTATTTGGCTTGTGTGTCAGTATCATCCAGTATCATGGTAAATGTAGAGTTTCCATTAGGTTTTTTAAAAGAAATTGACAATACTCCCCCCTATGACTACCTTGCAGGCCCTGCAGGGCTCTGAGTCTCCTAGATGCCCCCCAAAGCCCCTTCAGAACTTAGGAAACTGGGCTTGCCTTCCTGGCTTTCCTCTGAACCAGCCTTCACCCTCTTGGGACCCAGGTTTCCTGAATATA
Source organism: Homo sapiens (assembly GCF_000001405.40). Lineage (NCBI taxonomy): Eukaryota > Metazoa > Chordata > Mammalia > Primates > Hominidae > Homo > Homo sapiens. The sequence goes on along the minus strand of NT_187633.1, from coordinate 26,414 downwards.
AAATCAAGGTGCTGGACTTGGGGATCTGTTAGGGTCCTCAAAGCTCCATGACTCCGGCTTGGTAAATACAGCTGTCTGTTAATGGCAGAACAGTGACACACACTCTTAGTAAATGCAGATGCCTTCCCAAGACAGCTCCACAGATGGCGCATGGAGGCACTGGGTATGTTGCTATGGCTGGCCCACCTCTCTGAATACAGTGCCTGTTTTCCACAGGGCAGTGGGCTGAGACCGTCCATCCACTACTATCACTGGAGCTACTGAATTTCAATAGAGCTCTGACCTTGAACTCTTCCCTAAACTCCGAAGGTCTGATGATTAAGTCAGGCCCAAAAGAACAAACTGCCTCTCCAACTGAGTCTCTTACAGCCTGGGTCTCAGGAAGATTATTCTTACTGGGAGGCCCAGGAGTCAAGGGGCTGAAAGACAAGACTGTAATTAGCTTTCTAGAAACTAAAATGTGTTTTGGGGAAGATCTTGGAGACCATCTAGTCTAAGCATCACATTATACACATGAGAAACACGACAGCAAGGCAGAGCAGGGCTGGAACCAGGCCTCCCAAGGTTCTTCCCACTTGGCCACGCACAGCTTCTCAATTTGCTCCAACTAATAAATGAAAGCTTTCTTTTGAAGTGTCACCTACTTAGAGCCAAACTGATTACTTTTACACCCATTAGATCAGGTAAACAACTCGCCTAGTATCACAGGCTGAAATTTGACACCTTTTGCATTCTGCAGTTAGGCAGGTGCCTACTGGCCAATGAGGACCATTCTGAACTGTGGCAGATGGACAGGCACTGGCTCTACCTCCCCAGCACTGGCATCTTTGAACAGTTGTAATTTAAGTGACAACGTGAAAATTTTATTGAATCCTATATTTTTTGTTTTATAAAAATTAGTGGAGGCCAGGCACAGTGGCTCACGCCTATAATCGAGCACTTTGGGAGGCCGAGGCGGGCAGATCACTTGAGCTCACAAGTTTAAGACCAGCCTGGACAATATGGTAAAACCCCATCTTTACTAAAAATATAAAAATTAGCCGGGTGTGGTGGTGTGTGCGTGTAGTCCCAGCTACTTGGGAGACTGAGGTGGGAGGACGGCTTGAGCCTGGGAGGCGGAGGTTGCAGTGAGCCGAGATTACACCACTACACTCCAGCCTGGGTGATAGAGTCAAACCTCGTCCAGAAAAAAAAAATGGTGGAAAATGCTAACACTAAAGTTCTGATGCTATTGACCTTAGTCTCATCCATGGGACTCAGTGTGACCATCTTGAGGCTTCATTCATTCATGCTATGCTCAATTGTGAAGGATAAAACCCACAAGTTTAAAAAGTATGAATGCGCTGAGTGTGAGTGCAGTAGCTCACACCTGTCATTCCAGCACTTTGAGAGGCTGAGGTGCAAGGATCACTTGAGCCCAGGAGTTCAAGACCAGCCTGGGCAACATGGCAAAACCCTGTCTCTACAAAAAATACAAAAATTAGTCGGGCACGGTGGTGCACACCTGTAGTCCCAGGTACTTGGGAGGCTGAGGCAGGAGGATCGCTTGAGCCCAGGAGGTCAAGGCTGCAGTGAGCCGAGATCACACCACTGCACAAAGTGAGATCTTTTTTCAAAAATAAAAGAAAATAAAGTACGAATAAAATGCTGGAATATGATACTAAAAACTGCTATAAGGAGAAGAAACTCTTGGCATTTCATGATAGCTTTAATTCTCCAGGATTGGCACTTACTTCCTTACATGAGATTCTACTGCTTGACATTTGTACATCTGAACTGTATATCCATAATTTTTTTAAAAAGGTAACATATACTAGCTGGGGACTGCCTTTGGAGCAAAAAAGGCTAGTTTGAGACAATCTGTAAAAACCTAATATATGGCCGGGTGTGGTGGCTCATGCCTGTAATCCTAGCACTTTGGGAGACCCAGACGGGCAGACTGCTTGAGCCCAGGAGTTGGAGACCTGCCTGCGCAACATAGCCAGACCCTGTCTCTATAAAAAACAAAAAACAAGAACCTAATAGACTTGGAACAAACACCCATTCAAAGGCCAGTAGAGTTTTCCTGAAGTCAGTCATCCAGTTGATGCAACAAAATGCAGCCACTCTAGTTAAGGGTTAAACATCCTTAGGCTCTTTCCCCTGTAATAATTCAGAATCAGTTCACAGATATGGAAAGTGTCAATCGCTTCAGAACTGCTGAAAGATCTAGCTTAGGCATGGGGCCCTTATTCACCCAAAAGCAAACATCTTCCTCCAATCTGTTTCTTCACCGGTAAACAAAGGTCAAAAGACCTCCACTGCTCACCTAAGAGGCAACAAACACAATGGGGATGAGCCCTCACTAAGTCCAGGGTTTCCAGCCTGCCATTTGAGGTTCCCACAAGTAGCAATACGGGGAGGGGTGCACGTGAAATTTACGACATCTAAAAAGGGTCAAAGGCAGCAGTGCAGTCCCCCAAGCGTCGCAGGGGCTAACTCAATATCCCGTTTCTTTGCGTCTGACTGGAAACCAACCCAGCGCGGAACCACTGGGGCCCCTCGCGGCGCCAAAATCTTGGCAGCACTGAAGGCGGCGGACCTCGGCGAAATAAGTAAGGAAATCCCAGGTCGATGAGGGGGCGGGGGCCACACCCGACACGCCCACTAGGCCACGCCCCACAGCCCCGAGCGCGCGCGCGCGCGCCCGCCCGCCCCGATGAATGGAGACGCGCGCTCTCGGCGCATGGGCCCGCCCCGGGGCTCCCGCGGGGCCGAGCCCGGGGAGGGCGAGAACGCGCCCCGGGCTACCTCGGAGCCGATCATGTAGAACTCGCCGTCGTCCTCCAGCTGGAACTTCACGGGCTTCTGCCCGAAGGTCTTGCTCAGCGCCATCATCATCATTGCGGCGGCAGAGGCGGGCGGCCGGAGCCGGGCTGCGAGGGATCAGGAGGGCTGGGGCGGGGCCGGGGCGTGCTGGGCCGAGGGAAACCGAAGCCGGAAGGCGAAATGCGGACCGGGCCGGGTACTGGCGCCTCAGCCGGGCTCCTCAGCCGCCGCCGCCGCCGCAGACGACGACCAGGCCGCCCTCAGTGCGCAGGCGCTGGCGTTGACGCTGACGCGCGCGCCGCCGCTCAAACAAAAGGCCGGGCGCGCCTCCGCGGACCCCTTAAAGGAGCCACGACTAATTTCTCTTTCTCCCAGGCTGCCTCCCAAGTCGTGGTGTAGAGGACTTCTCACGGACAAAAATAGCCAATGAGGTCCTGACTCAAGCAGTGGCTTTCCCAGTCTTACAGCCAGGACTGGAACTGAGCCCAGGGGAAAAGCAACGAAGTGAGGCCTGAAGGAGGAGGACCTAGTATCTGGAAGCCTGGGTGGTCTGGGCATGCTTTGGGACCCCAATCTCGTGCCTTAGCTTCCCCACCCCTAAAACGCAGTGCAGCTGAGCAGATAGGCAGGCCCCTAGGAAGAGATATCCCAGTTCCGGGCCTACGGCTGTCCCTGCAGCTGTGGAGGTGGGCAAAATGACAACAGCGGATGAGGCTTGGCAATGTTCAAAGGCCCAGGTGGTATTTGGTTTGGCTGGTGCATCAGATGAGCGTTGGAAGGGAGAGACACCTTCCACCTTCTCCATTCCTCTCTTAGCCTACACTCTGCTTAACCGAGCCCTGCAGTGGGGAGTGAAACCAGGCAGCCCAGCCCTGTGGCTCTGCCTCTTGGCTCTTACAGCGCGAAGCTAGTGAAACTAATGAAAGTCTGAAAGCAATCATGATTGAATAATGCAGGGAGTAAAACAGTGGCCCACTACTGATGATTTCACACCGTTCAATCTAATGAAATTGCAGCTGTGGCTGGGCTCAGCGGCTCATGCCTGTAATCCCAACTCTTTTTTTTTTTTTTGAGGCTGGAGTCTCCTGCCTCAGCCTCCCAAGTAGCTGGGACTACAGGCACCCGCCACCACGCCCAGCTAATTTTTTGTATTTTTAGTAGAGACAGGGTTTCACCATGTTAGCCAGGATGGTCTCGATCTCCTGACCTCGTGATCCGCCCCCCTCGGCCTCCCAAAGTGCTGGGATTACAGGTGTGAGCCACTGCGCCCGGCCTTGTAATCCCAACTCTTTAGGAGGCCAAGGCAGGGAGGATCACTTGAAGCCAGGAGTTTGAGACCAGACTGGACAAGACAGCAAGACCCTGTCTCTACAAAAATTCTAAAATAAATAAGCTGGGTGTGGCATGGCGGTGTGCACCTGTAGCCCCAGCTACTTGGGAAGTGGAGAGGGGAAGATCCCTTGAGCCCAGGAGTTCAAGGTTATAGTGAGCTGATTGCACCACTGCACTGCAGCCTGGGCAACAAAGGGAGACCCTGCCTCTCTTAAAAAAAAAAAAAATGCAACTATGCTATTACGAAGACACACATGGGGCTGGAAGGTAGGGCAAGGAGACACTGGAGAGTTGGGAAGGGCAGTGACTGAAGTTGCTTTGTTCTGTATCCTCACAGTGGTGGGAAACCAAAGTACAGTCATCCCTCAGTATCCATGGGAATTGGTTCCAGGACCCCCTGCAGATAATAAAGTCCACAGATGCTCAAGTCCATTATATAAAATGGTGTCATACTTGCATATAACCTACACACACTTTCCTGTATACCTTAAATCATCTCTAGATTCCTTATACTACCTAATACAATGCAAATGTTATATAAATAGTTGTTATACTATTGTTTAGGGAACAATGATAGGGAAAAAAGTCCGTACATGTTCAGTACAGAGGTAACCATCCCTTATTTATTTATTTATTTATTTATTTATTTACTTATTTTATTGAGACAGAGTCTTGCTCTGTCGTCCAGGCTGGAGTGCAGTGGCATGATCTGGGCTCACTGCAAGCACCGCCTCCTGGGTTCACGCCATTCTCCTGCCTCAGCCTTCCGAGTAGCTGGGACTACAGGCGCCCGCCACCACGCCTGGCTAATTTTTTGTATTTTTAGTAGAGACGGGGTTTCATGGTGTTAGCCAGGATGGTCTCGATCTCCCGACCTCGTGATCTGCTGGCCTCAGCCTCCCAAAGTGCTGGGATTACAGGCATGAGCCACTGCACCCAGCCTATTTATTTACTTTATTATTTTTTTAGACGGAATTTTGCTCTTGTCACCCAGGCTGGAGTGCAATGGCACTATCTCAGCTCACTGTAACCTCTGCCTCCACGTTCAAGTGATTCTCCTGCCTCAGCCTCCCAAGTAGCTGGGATTACAGGCATGAGCCACCACACCCAACTAATTTTTGTATATTTAGTAGAGATGGGTTTTCACCATGTTGGCCAGACTGGTCTCAAACTTCTGACCTCAGGTGATCCACACACCTCGGCCTCCCAAAGAACTGGGATTACAGGCACGAGCCACTGCGCCCGTCCGCATCCTTTTTTTAAACATTGTTTTTTCTACCCGAGGTTAGTTGAGCCTACGGATGCAGAAACCACAGCTATGTATGGCAGGCTGGGCTGTGGCATGAGCAGATAAACCACCACTCTGGAGGATGAACAGAGGGGACAAGTAGGAAAGTGGGGAGCCAGTTAAGAAGCCACTGTAGCAAAATGTGATGTAGAAATGGAGCAGAAGGAGCCCTGAGCACTGTGCCCAGCCCCAAGGGCCAGAGGCTTGGGGGTGGTGGACTTCGACCCTGGCTCCCAGGATAGGGCTGGACAGTGGCCAGGCCTCCCCATCCTGGCTGAACATTCACAAAAGGAGACCAAGCAGGCAGGTAGAAAACAACTGTGTTTAATGACAATCCTCAGTTTAAAAAAAAAAAAAGAAGAAGAAGGTTTATACACACTGTACACACATTTACAATGGCTTTGGAGGATAGCAGTGCTGCGAAAAGGGCTTCAGGAGGATCCGGCCTGGGACAGGATTGAGGTATGTTGCAGCCTCCAGGGCCTGGGGTCTCCTGCATGAAGAATACCCCTCCCCATTTGACTGTGAACTTTTTGGCCTGGATTCTGGAGAACAGATTTCCAGGATTGTCAGCCAGAAGGCAGACAGATGCAGGCACCTACCAAGACCTGACCTCAGGAAGTGGCCCTGCCCTACAGCCCAGTTGCTCAGCCAGGGCTGAAGGCCATGGGGCCCCAGCACCCTTGCTTCAGTGCCAGCCCCTGGAAGGAACCTCACAACAGGGATACAGCAAGGACACTCCAGTTCCCCCAGTCCTGCCATGGTGCTACCCTGAGGGACAGGGATGGAGACAGGGCAGCCAGGTTTGCCAGGACCTGCATAGCGGGCCCAAGACTGCCCTTCCTCTTAAGTCATGCCAAAGCCTCCCTGCCCAGTCTGAGACAGTCGCTGGCAGGTGACCACGACCTGCGTGGCCCTCCCGGCAGTTGTCATGGTGGTTGTACCCCACCCCATCCCCCTGAGGAGACATGGGCTCAGTCCCATGCCTGGTGCCCACAGCCACAAAGATGGCCATGGGTCTCTAGCCTGATATTCGTGGCCTGGCAGGGGTCAGCACCCCTGAGGGCATCCAAGCCATGGTCAGAGGAAAGTGTTGGCAGGCTCGGCACAGCCAAAGAAGTCAGGACCCACGAGACGGGGGAAGCCTTCCAGAGCCTTCACCTTCACAGGGTCAAACTTCCAGTAGAGGCGGCCGCGCAGGAAGTAGGCATAGCCTGAGAAGAGAAGGTGGTCAAGCCTGGGCGAGCGGACACTGGGCCCTACTCCTGCCTGTCAGGCTGTGCCCAGGGATGGGCACTAAGGGAGGGCTGAGTGGGAAGCCCTTGGCCACTGCTGAGTTCCTCGAGTCCTGCAGGATCCAGGGCCGGCCTTTCAGAACCTCTCTTCCCTCTAGGGAGCCCTTCTGCCTGCCCCGGAATCTGGGCTGGGCTAATACCCAGCCTGACAGGTACCCAGAGCCTCAGAGGCCTGAGTCCCACCTCTCAGGAAAGCAAGTCCCGTTGCCCCCACCACCCTCCACATCACTCTCTCCTGCATCTATTAAATTAGCCAGGCTATTGACGGGCACCCTGGAGTCCTGGAGCTGGAGGCTACCCTAGGATAGCTCTCCCAGTGGGTCCTGATGTGGGAGAAAGAGCACAGAAGAGGAGCCTAGCAGGGGAGGGAGCACTGGACTGGCTCTAGCCCCCTGTGGTTGTGGGAGGCTGGGTGGGTCAGTGGTTAGGAGCAGGGACCACCAGGGTAGTCCAGGTTAGGGGCCTCATTGCCTGAGCCTCTGTTTGCTCCTCTGGAAACTGGGTTCACAACAGGTGTCACATCAGAGGGCTGTTCTGAGAACTGGATGAGACCAGTAAGGAGCTTAGAGCATTGTTGGCCCTCAGTGTACAGCAGTTTATTGTTCTACTGGCTGTGGCTGAAAAACCAGGGTAAGACCTTGCACTTCTCTGACCCTCAGTTTCCTCATCTGCAATATGGAATGTAGCACTAGCCGGCCACCGAGAGGAGGGCAGATGGCTCTGGACAAAGGACCTGTGATGAAGAGCCAGACTTCCTGTGGCAGGCATGTGGGAGCCCAGCCACCACCAGGTGGGAGAAGCGGCTGCTGTGCCCACCTCCCACCAGCTGCCTCACCCCCAACGCACCATCAGCATCCTGGAAGGCAGCGTCGATCTCAGAGGGCACCCCTCTCCAGTCAGTGGCCCTGCGGGGCACGGGACTGTCTACACGCCGGGTGCTGGGGTGGAAACGCCAGTAGTCCCTGCCTCGGAAGAAGTAGATCTTGTTCTTCTCGGGACCCCAGACCAAGGCAGCATGGACCGGGAACCTCACCAGGCCCAGCTCGGTGAGGGGTGCGGGGCCCAGGACTGGCTTTTCACCGTCGTACACCCAGTACTGAGCACCTGCCGGAGAGGGAAGGCTGCAAGGACCTGCCCAGCCACCACTGCCATGCCCCGCCACTGTGGACCTGCTTGACCCCTACCACAGACTCTCCCAGCCTCAGTTTCCTCATCAGTAAAACATGCAGGCCAATAATGCCTGCTCAGCACCCCACCCGCAGAGGGAAGCGGGAGGCCTGGGATAAGCTGGGGCAGTGAATGCTCTGTAAACTAGTGCACGGGTGAGGTTACTCTCATCAGTAGAGGGCTGCCTGGGCGGCTGCTCCTTCCACTGGCATTTGGCTGTGACAAATGCCTACTGACCACTCCCTGGGCCCCTGCAGGCTGGACTGCCCTGGAACCCACGCAGGTTTCCCATGCTGTGCCTTCATTTGTGAAGTCCCTGGCATCTGCAATGCTCCAGGCTCTCATCTCTGCCAGTTGAGGATGGAAATCCCAGCTCTAGGATGATAGACCTGGATCAATTCCCTGCCCTGCCTCTTCCCAGCTGCACTCACAGTGAGTCACTTCACTGCCTCGGGGCCCCAGAGGCCTCATCTCTAGAACCCCGCCCCATGGGGTGGCTGAGGGTTGAACGCACCAACACGAGGCCCCACCGTGCAATCCCTTCCACGCTGCTCCTATCTCAAGAGCCACCTCCGAGAACCTCCTACCTGTGCCTGAGGAACAAACCACACTCTCTCTCCCTCGGCCCCCAGGCTTTGGGGCAGCTCTCCCTATCCACTGTGTCCCTAAGGATCCATCTGTCTGTTCCTGCCCTTGGCCATAACATTCCTGGCTCTGGGAAGTCTCTCGAGCAGATCCCCAACCCCCACTCACCTTGGAAGAACCAAATGTGGCCCTGGGCATCCTCGAAGGCAGCGTCCACAGGGCTGGGCAGTCCCTGCCAGTGGCGAGAGGCCAATGCTGGGTAGCCGGGCTGCAGCTGGCCCCCACGGAGGCGCCACACAAAGCCCGCTTTGAAGAAAAAGAGCTCGCCTCGGATGGTGGAGACCGCGTCAAAGGAGGCCTCACAGGCATCTGGCGGGGCGTCTGGCTGGGGTGGGAGAGAGGGACACATGCTGAGGGCATATGCTGCAGTCACAGTGGCCAGCAGAGGAGTAGGGGGACTGGCAGGCAGGGCCTCACCTCCAGCGGTGCAATCTCATTGGTGTCTATCCCAGCCTGGGGGCCCAGGGCTGGGGTCCTGGAGGTGACAGTGGGCCAGGGCTGGCCATATAGGTGTTGAACGCCCCTGCAGTCATCTGGGCTGAGACTCAGTGGGTAGCGAAAGGTGTAGAAGGCGGACATCAGGGCCTTGGCTGCTGTTGTGTGCTGCAGCCCCAGCACGTGGCCAAATTCATGGGCTGCCACCTGCAGCAGGTCTGTGCCTGAAAAAGGGAGGTGGCTCAGCAACCCCCGAACCTCCTGCCCAGGACATCCAGCTCCAGACCCCAGCTCAGTGACCTTGGCGAGTCCCCATTCTTTATGATCTTCGGTTGCCCCATCTGGAAAATGGGTCCCCAGCCCATACCCTGGTCATCCCCGATAGTCCAGGTCTCATCATAGTCGAAGTGGACATCCCCTTCTCGGTGAGTCTTGGGGAAGAAGGCATGGGCCAGGATGCCCCCAGGCCCATCAAACGGCAGGTCGTCCCCATGCCAGTACCTACAGATGGGTGGGGGCGGGGTCAGTGGCTGCTGGCAGGCGAGGCTGTTCCCGGAGGGGTCCCAGGCCGCCCATTCACCTGGCGAAGTCGATCATGATGTCAGCACGGCCCTCGTGCACCTCAGTAAAGGTGAGTGGCGTCACATCGCTCCATACCTTTAGGGCCTCTGCCATCGTCTGCCGCACCTGCTCCTGCACCAACTGCCATGGGAACCGAAGGATCCTGGAGGGAGATGGAGGGGCCTGGGCCTCAGGGAAGGGACAGCCCCCGATGGCTGAGGCACCAGGAGTTGCCCCTGGATGCTTGGTGGGTGTGTGAACACTCAGGACACAGGCCAGGTGTACTCTGGGCCTCAGCTTCAGCGCACTGGTCTCCCTGGCCACATGGGCACATGTGTATGTGGTTTGCTCATACTTAGGCAAATACAAGTGTCTGAATTCAGTGGAAAGAACCAGGACCAGGGGTCCCGAGACCCCCATCCTAGACCTGACAGTGCCACTTACTGTGGGGACACCTTGGTTCCTTGAGCCCCTGTTGGTTCCCAGGCCCCCACCTAGGAAATTCTAAAGACCCCAGTCTCAGCTCCAATGCTGTGTGACACCAGCCCATTCTTCAGGCTGGGTCCCCACCCGCAGGATGTGTGAGCCTCAGCTTCCCCATCACCTGCCCAGGGTCCTCCCAGGTCACCCAGTGAGATGCCCACTATTGCCTCTCCCCGCTTACCACTGTCTCCACCTGCTCGAAGCCCAAGTTGTGATGGTAGAGTTGGACAATGACATGGCTGACACCCACCTCAGACTGACACAGAGGATGGGGCTGTGTCTGCCTCATTCACCGTGGAGTCCCAGAGCCTGGTCCTCACAGGTCTCTTGTAAAGGCTGCCTGAGTGACTGAACACCCGTCCGCAGGCATGTGCTGCGACTCTTTGCATGATGACGGAGGCTCTGCCCCTCTGCTGAGGGAGGGTCTCCATATGTGTATGTGTCTAAGTTGGGGTTTCAGGGGGTTTGCCCATAGATGACCTCCCTGGGGTTCAGTGGACACACAGGTCTGTTAGACACGAAGATCTACCCTGGCCTGTGTCTCAAGCAGCAGCTGTGAGGGCAGCTGGCTTACCCACGGACACACAGGTGGCATCCTAGTGTCCTGCTCCCAGGCCCCTACCTGTAGGTGAGGTCCGTCTTCTCCCAGCGCCCGCCAGAAAGCACGAACCTCTTCTGTCGGTTGCGGGCACTCAGCCCATCAGATGGGTCGGGCACGCCACAGCGGGGAGGCCTGAGGCTGCTGGCAGGCCGGGGGGCTTCCTGCGTGGCAGGGGCAGGTGCCGGGCTACTGGGCAGGGCTGCATGCCAGGGCTGTGGCCCCCTCCTCTCGGCATGGAGGTGGTGGGCGTCCTAGGCAGGAGGATGACATGAGGGTCTGGTCAGGCCTAAGGTCCACATGGCCCACAGTTAGAGATGTGGCCTGTCAGCAAACACACGTGCAACCCCAGCCCACTGTGTGGCTGGGCAAATGGAGAGGGAAAGGGCACCGGCACATGGCAGGGCCCTTTGGCATCTGGCTGGCTCTCTGGTTTCTTGGCACCTTGTTCCAAGGCATCAAGCTGTCCCCCACATCGTGGAGGGCCCTGGGCTGCCTGTCACCTACTCCAGCTACTTAGGCCAATGAGGTCTGGGGGTGGGGGCACACTGGGACTGGCTATGAGCCATACACTCCAGGAATGGACCCCAAAAAGCTTCCTCCGAAGGAACACCAGGCAACCTCCTCCTGCTCCCCACAGAAACTTGCTTCCAACTCCCTTTCTTCCTGTGTCCGCTAAGTTCAGACACACCTGGGTCATGCTCCTGTCCCTGTCATGTGAGCAGGATCTGCCCTCTCTCCTGCCCAGGATTTCCCCCACCTCCTCCCCAGTGTGGAGCGGCTGTAGCCCTGCAGTGTGGCCTCAGTCAGTGTAACCTGACTGCTGGGGGTGACACTGACTTGTGGACTGGACAAGGTGAGGTATGTACAGCACCTAGCACAGGCCCAGCACCCGGGAAGGCACCTGGCCACTGAGGCCTGGCTTCTAGCAGAGGTGGTTTTGGTCACACCCCACCAGGGCTAGGAGTACAGTGGGAGCTGATCTGTGATCTGCCTGCCTTCTTCAAGCGGGGAGGGTGGGGACAGTTAATTACCAGGTGCCCAGCCCCACTCGCCAAAGCCCCAGGACCACAGATGGCGATTCAGACCTAAGCTACATCCTGCTACCTGTCTATAAGTCTCCAGGGCAGAAGTTACAGTTCTTGTGCATGAGAAAAGCAGAAGCTCAGAGAGGTTGGAGACCCTGCAAAGTCACCCAGCAAGGGCATGGCAAGGCCAGGCCAGGACTCTGGTGGCTCAGGCCTAAGGCTAAGGCCTGGCTCTGGACACCGCACAGAAGCCAAGTGTCCTTCCTGCACTGAAGGAGAGGGATGGAGCTGTGCTGCTTGCTGAGAGACTCAGCACCTGTCTGGTCTGGGCAACTGCAGCCTCCTCACAGCCATATTTGGGGTAGGAGCTCAGCCACTCAGGCCCCACCTCACCCTCAGCCTTTGGCAGCTCTCCCAGGCTCCATACACCCCAGGGATCTGATCAGCGTCCCAACGCTCCCTGCTCCTGATCCCAGAGCTGAGGCATCAAGAACACCCCACCATGAAGGGGGGCCTTCTGAACACGGAGGCTATGGAACTACTTAGGGCGTGAGGCCCTGAAGCAGCTTCCCCCCATTTCCGAGCTTGCTTATTGCATGGTTACCTGGCACAGCGCAGTCTCACTGGGTTGTGGGTTCTGGCCGATTCTGGGCTTATTGGTTTTTTGTTTTGTTTTTTTGAGATGGAGTCTCACTCTGTTGCCCAGGCTGGAGTGCAGTGGCGCGATCTCGGCTCACTACAACCTCCACCTCCCGGGTTCAAGCAATTCTCTGCCTCAGCCTCCCGAGTAGCTGGGGTTACAGGTGCCTGCCACCACGCCTGGTTAATTTTTTTTTTTTTTTTTTTGAGAGAGAGTCTCGCTCTATCGCCCAGGCTGGAGTGCAGTGGTGTGATCTGGGCTCACTACAACCACCGCCTTCCGGGTTCATGCCATGCTCCTGACTCAGCCTCCTGAGTAGCTGGGACTGCAGGCACTTGCTGCCATGCCCGGCTAATTTTTTTGTATTTTTAGTAGAAACGGGATTTCACCATGTTACCAGGATGGTCTCGATCTCCTGACCTTGTGATCCGCCTGCCTCGGCCTCCCAAAGTGCTGGGATTACAAGCATGCGCCACCGCACCCAGCCTCACGCCTGGCTAATTTTTGTATTTTTAGTAGAGATGAGGTTTATCCATCTTGGCCAGGCTGGTCTTGAACTCCTGACCTCATGATCCACCTGCCTCGGCCTCCCAAAGTACTGGGATTACAGGCGTGAGCCACCGCGCCCGGCCTGGGCTTATTGTTAATAAGTACTTAGCACTGGTTGGCCGGGCCTGGTGGCTCACGCCTGTAATCCCAGCACTTTGGGAGGCCGAGGCAGGCGGATCATGAGGTCAGGAGATCGAGACCATCCTGGCTAACACGGTGAAACCCCGTCTCTACTAAAAATACAAAAAATTAGCCAGGCGTGGTGGCGGGCTCCTGTAGTCCCAGCTATTCGGGAGGCTGAGGCAGGAGAATGGCGTGAACCTGGGAGGCAGAGCTTGCAGTGAGCCGAGATCGTGCCACAGCACTCCAGCCTGGGTGACAGAGCGAGACTCCATCTCAAAAAAAAAAAAAAAAGTACTTAGCACTGGTTGCAGGCTAGGACCTTGGCAACAGCTCCACAGACTTGCTCTTAGCCCCTGATGGAACCTCTCACCAACTCCACCATCATCACCCTCATTTCCAGGATGAGGAAATGGGCCCCAGAGGAGTTAAGCAGCTTGATCAGACAACAGCTGGCAGGCAGCGGACTGTCTGTGCTCACAGCCCACCCAGCTCCCTGCTACCTCTGCTCTGCTCTGCAGGGGTTGAGTTACCCTTCCCCTGAAGGAGGGACCCAGGCTGGCCTCACCTTGGTGAGGTGCAAATTATTCAGCGCCTGCTATTTCCCGGGCATTTTGCAGGCAGGTTCGTTGGGCTTCCAATATCCACCAGGCAGGTGGAGATGCTACATATCCAAGTTCTCCCATGGAGGATGTGGGCTGCCAGAGGGGCCTGCCTCCTCCTCCTCGCCACACTGCCCCCTTGACTTACAGGAGAAACAGATTCCTTTCCCCAGCCTGGCAGGGGTATGAAGACCCTCCCTGGAAAGGGCAGAGCTGTGCTCTCCCCTGGGAGCTCCAAACAACCCAGAGCCCAGCCTGCCAGCCCTGCTATGCCCATGGTCAGAAATCTCTTCTCTCCTCTGCCCTCTAGTGAGTCCTGGTGCAGACAGTCATGGAGGGAGAGCCACGGGCATGCCCCCACCCCTTCCACTGTCCCTTCCTGTCCTTCCCTCATGAGGCACCCAGTCCATGCCCAAACCCCTGGATCATGACAGTCTTAGTGTCACAAAAAGAGCCAGCCACTGAGGTTCAGAAGGCCTAGTTCTATGACATGGAGACTCTAGACAAGTCACCTTCCTCTCTTAGCCTCAACTTTCCTATCTGTCAAATGGGAATGATGCCACAGCAAAGGGCTACATGACATCCTTCTGTAATGCCTGCTGTAGCCTCTGGCACAGAAAAGCACCTCTTACCTGGCCCTGTTCCTTGTCCCTGTAGGCCCTCCCCTCCCACGCTTGGGAATCTGCCCTTGCCAGTCCCTACAGTTCCCATCACCCACCGCCCCTCTAGCTACCCAACAAAATCTTCAGGCTTTAAATGGTAAAACAGAAGTTGCAGCTAGAAGGGAGCTTTCAGGCCTAGAAAAGAGAAGCGCCTTGTGCAGGGTCTCCCACATATCAAGGTCTCTTCTCCCTGTCCCTGTCTTGTTCATTAAATTCTTAGAAACTGAGTGAGCAGGAGATGCTAGAAATGAGGCCTCTAGCTAGTGAGGTTGTTTTTAGAGCCCATTATTTTTTTAGAGCCCATGAGCTCTTGGCCTCAGTTTCCCCATGGCTGGGATAGGACACACATTCTGCCTCACTGTCCTCCCACACTTCATCTTTCCAAGTCCTTTCTGGCCTGGGGCCAGATGCCCTAACTACAAGGCACGGCATGAAGCAGCTTGCTACTTGTGAGACAGGTGGGCTTGGCCTTCCCAGGACTCTCAGGATTCAGTGAGGTGAGGTGGTAGACACAGGCCACCACTGGCCTCATCTACACCCCTGGGGAGCTTGAGGAAGAAGCAGCTCCCCCATTTCCCAGAGGATGAGACAGAGCCCAGAGAGCTCAAGGACTTTGCCCGGGGTCACACAGCAAGTCATGCAAGAGCTGGACCTAGACCTGGGGCTCATGCCTCCCACCTCCAGGGCTTCCCCCTGTCTCCCCAGCTCTTGGCTTTTCTCCAAAACCCACTTTCCCAAGAAGCATTTCTGCTTCCAGTGCATTCCCTCTGTCTTGGCCAGTAGCCTCCCTTGGCCTGCCCTGTGGTGGGTTCTTAGCTCACTCAGCCCCACCCTCTTCTGCCAGACACCAAACCTCAGCTGCAGACACATTCAAGGAATTTCTCAGCTGACCCAGTGTCCTGGCAGAGCTTAGAGACTCGGAGTCAACCCCGCCCTGGGGTCAACTTGCAATCCAGAAAATGGGAGGCACCAGATAGAGGGGAGATAAGGGAGGACCCCAGGGTGCCAGGAAACACTGCGAAAGGCTGGGCTCATTGTGCCCCTTTCTGGGCCTCAGTTTGCAGTTGGTCTAGTGGGTATAATTAATCATAGCTATGCCTTCTGATGTCGGTGGGAGGCAAGACTTCGAGGAGGGCACTTGTTAGGCTATGGAGGAAGACGGGAGCATCACCATGCAGGCTCAGAGAGGTCAAGCAACCTGCCCAACTCACACAGCCAGGTGGCAAGCAGGGATATCTTCTCCCTCAAGCTTCCACCTAATCTTCCTATTCTCACCCCTCTGCTGCTGGCTCCAGGAGGGACGGTAGCTTCGTCCCATCCATCGGACTGCAGGGCTTCCATCAACCCTGAAAGCTGGGAACTGGGCTGGATAAATATTTACAGAGCTCTCCCAGCCTTGCTGAAGGCAGCCGGGGGATAAACACATCAGAGGTGACCCCACATGCTCCCTGCGTGTTTGCAGAGTGACAGACCACAGTCCAGCTCAGACCCCACCCCAAGCTGGCCCCCAGCTCCAGCACTGACCATGCACAAGCGTCAAAGTGGCAGCTACAGGTGACAGTGTTTCTAGTGAGCCTGGCATCACCTCATTGCTCAACAGTGGACACAGCAGTAGGCACCATTGCCCCCTCCCACCTGCACTCCCATTAGAGATGGAGTGGGTGAGATTCTGAGGCATGGCAGGATTCACCCAGGGTCACATGGTTCAAACCCAGATCTCTCCAATTTCCAGACCTGTGGTTCAATGTCTACCCACAGTGATTCCTGACTCTGTCCCAAGTCCTAGGAACCAAGAGGGGCTGGGAAGGAGGCAAGACTCCAGACTGAGATGCCCCCCATTCACTCTACCCCACCCATCCCATCCCTTTCTGCTCCCATAGCCAGCACAGGACAAGGCTGCCCTGAGCAGAGCCAGAGTGGCTGGACAGAGGGTCCCAGCCTGGCCAGGCCTGCCTCCTCACCAGGCCAGTCCTGAGACTCCTGCCTGTCACACCCTCCTGCTCCCTTCCCTGCCCGAGCTGTCTGGATGCCTCCGCTGTGGAGTGGAGTGGCCCAGGCTCTGGCCCCAGGCCCTGTGACTGGTGCCTGGAAGCGCCCCAGGGAAGGGGCAGCTTTTGGGACACATGCAAGCTGTCACACACACTCCATGACAGTCCCTCCTCTCCTCACTCTGCTGTCCTCTCTTACCTGGGCTTTCTTCTCCTCTCCTGAGCACACATTTTCTCCCTTTCCTTTCTCTCCCCGCTTCTTTCTGACAGCCACCTCTCAGTCACACACACACTGCACTCATACTATTTCATACTCATGTTCTCCTGGCTCCAAGCCTCCCAAAACTGCTGCCGGCAGGTGCCCGCGGGGGACATCTCCAGGCTTAGACCCCATTTCCCGCAGCACAGCGCTGCCCTCCCTTCTCCCTTTATCCTTCATCCCACCGCACACCTGGAGGTGTACTAACTGCGGCCACACACCTGCAGGCTGACACCTGCCTGGGATCTGCTCGGCTTTGTCCCTGCGATGAATAGGGGGCCCTGTTACCACTCCCTCTGCTGCTTCCTTCAACGCACACTCCAGCACCCGCGGCTGGAGCGCGAGAGGCAGGTCCCCACGCTGGGAGCAAGCGTGAGTCCAGCGTGGAGTCCCGTCCCACCAGCCCGAACGATGCCGGCGCCGGCTCCCCTTCACACCCCCAGGGACTGCAAGCTCGCTGTCTATCACGCCTAGAGGGAACCAGAAAGCGTTTCGGGTACCGGGCGCTGGAGGCCACCCGGGGCGCCCCCTTCGGTCCGGATCCGCCGCTGGGCCCAGCCCGCGTGCCCGGCGCCCCCTCAGCGAGGAGCGGCCGGCGAGTGGCGGGCACTCACCGGCGGCAGAGCCCGGGCCAGCAGCGGCGGCGGCTGGAGCAGCAGCAGCAGCATCGGGGGCAGGAGGGCGCGCGCGGCCGCGCTGCGGAGCCAGGCGGCCGGAGCCATCCGCCCCGGGGCTGCTGGGCTTGCTGGGCCGCTCCGGGCCGCCGCCCCTTATAGCTTCCGCCCCACCCCCGGCCCGCCTCGGCCCCGCCCCCCGCCGCCTTTTGTTCTGAACTCTCCTAGCAGCCGCGGCCCGGGTGGGGGAGGTGAACGGGGAGGGTACGGCCCAGCGGGGTCGAGGGCCGGAGACAGGGTCCTGCCCCGGGGCTGGCAAAGTCCCTATCTGGTGCTGGGTGACCCTGGCCAACCCGTGCCGCTCTGGGTCTCAGTTTCTCCTCTGGGTGGTGGCCGTCCAAAGTCTTAGACTTGGCTAGAGTCTGAGAGGAGTCAGGTTTCATGGGTCCCATCCGTACCCCCACCTTTGGAAGGCGCATCCCACTGGGTCTCCTTGGTGGCCTGACCTCTGACCTCTGACAGGTGGTCCTACCCACAAGCAAGTTCCCCCACCCCTCAGAGCCTCAACGGATCCTTCTAGAAGATGACACAATAGCCCCTGTGAGGAAAGGGATATTATTTTATTTTTTATTATTATTATTTTTTGAGACACAGTCTCACTCTGTCTCCCAGGCAGGAGTGCAGTGGTGTGATCTCCACTCACTGCAACCTCCGCCTCCCAGGTTCAAACGATTCTGCTACCTCAGCCTCCCAAGTAGCTGGGACCACAGACGTGCGCCACCATGCCTGGCTAATTTTTGTATTTTTAGTAGAGATGGGGTTTCACCATGTTGGCCAGGCTGGTCTCGAACTCCTGACCTCAAGTGATCTGCCCACCTTGGCCTCCCAAAGTGCTGGGATTACATGGGGAAGCCATTGCACCTGGCCAGGAAAGGGATATTAAAATGTGTCCCAGGGGAAAGTGAGGCATATGGCAGGGACTGGCCAGTTCTTCAGCTTGGGATAGACCGAAGTTTACAGATAGGGAAACTGAGGCTCCAAGAGGGAGGGTCCAGGCTTTTCCACACCAGCAGACAAGTGGAGGGGTCAGGAGGTCCTCTAGCTGGTCAGCTGTGGGAAGGATGCTGTCAGAAGGCTGTGGGAGGTGTCTGAGTGGAGTACTGGGCCCCCAGGGTGTCCCCTCGTCAGTGCCCAACAAGCCCCTGGGGACCCCTCCAGGCTAGCCACCTCAGACTTGAAAGAAAGGAGGCGAGAGGCCGGGCGCAGTGGCTCATGCCTGTAATCCCAGCACTTTGGGAGGCCGAGGCAGGTGGATCACGAGGTCAGGAGTTGGAGAGCAGCCTGACCAACATGGTGAAACCCTGTCTCTACTAAAAATACAAAAATTAGCCAGGTGTGGTGGCACACACCTGTAAGCCCAGCTACTCAGGAGGCTGAAGCAGGAGAATCACTTGAACCCGGGAGGCGGAGGTTGCAGTGAGCCGAGATTGTTCCATTGCACTCCAGCCTGGGTGACAGAGCGAGACTCCATCTCAAAAAAAAGAAGGAAAGGAGGTGAGACTCAAAGGAGGGGTTGTGTCCACATTCTGGAAGGGATCCTTCAGTCTCATCCCTGATTTTCGGGGTTACCCAGTACTGCTGTACACCCCCTGAAATGATGAAGGGCCTCACCACCTCACCAGGCGACCTGTTCCATCATGGGTGGCCCTGCAGAGCCACGATCCAGGCAGTGGCTCGCATCCTGGCAGGCAGGGCTCTGAGCTGCTCAAAGGTGAGGCTGTGGTCAGGAAGCCTGGGCCAAGAAAGGGAAGCGGGTGGGGAAATGTTTCACAGCTTATTCAAGAAGACTCCACAGAGACTCCTAGAGGGCGAGGAGAAGTAAGACAGCAGTAATTTTTACAACCTACACTGTTCGTAATCTTTTCTTTTTTTTTTTTTTTTTTTTGAGACGGAGTCTCTCTCTGTCGCCCAGGCTGGAGTGCAGTGACGCGATCTCGGCTCACTGCAAGCTCCGCCTCCCAGGTTCATGCCATTCTCCTGCCTCAGTCTCCCGAGTAGCTGGGACTACAGGCGCCCGCCACCATGCCCAGCTAATTTTTTATATTTTTAGTAGAGATGGGGTTTCACCGTGTTGGCCAGGCTGGTCTTGAACTCCTGACCTCAGGTGATCCACCCGCCTCGGCCTCCCAAAGTGCTGGGATTACAGGCGTGAGCCACCGCGCCTGAAAGGCAATCTTTTCTTTAAAGTCACTCACTTTTATTTACTTTTATTATTTTGAGACAGGGTCTTGCTCAATGGTGTGATCTTGGCTCACTGCAACCTCCGCCTTCCAGGCTCAAACGATCCTCCTGCCTCAGCCTCCCAAGTAGCTGGGACTACCGGTGTGCATCACTATGCCCTGCTAATTTTTGTATTTTTTGTAGAGACAGGGTTTCACCATGTTGGCCAGGCTGGTCTCGAACTCCTGGACTCAAGCAATCTGCCTGCCTGGGACTCACAAAGTTCTGGGATATAGACATGAGCCACTATTCCCCGCTAAAGTGACTCATTTTTAAAAAGTAGGCATTTCAGGCCAGGCGTGGTGGCTCATGCCTGTAATCCCAGCACTTTGGGAGGCTGAGGCAGGCGGATCACAAGAGACCATCCTGGCCAACATGGTGAAACCCTGTCTCTACTAAAAATACAAAAAAAAATTAGCTGGGCATGGTGGCACGTGCCTGTAGTCCCAGCTACTTGGGAAGCTGAAGCAGGAGAATCACTTGAACCCGGGAGGTGGAGGTTGCAGTAAGCTGAGATCACACCACCGCACTCCAGCCTGGCAACAGAGTGAGACTCTGTTTAAAAAAACAAAAACAAAAACAAAAAAACAACAAAAAACAAACAATTAGCGGGGCATGGTGGCATGTGCCTGTGGTCCCAGATACTCGGGAGGCTGAGGCAAGAGAATCGCTTGAACCCAGGAGGCAGAAGTTGCAGTGAGTGGAGATCATACCACTGCACTCCAGCCTGAGCGACAGAGCAAGACTCCGTTTCAAAAAAAAAAAAAAAAAAAAGTTGGCATTTCAATGCCTGCTTCAGTGTCATCCTTTCAGCCTCATTTTCATTTGTGTAACCCACTTAAGTGGTCTTGGGTGCCTCCGAGGTGCAAGGCCATGCTTTGTGGAACCTGCAGTCCATCAGCCATGGGAGCTGAAGTAACAACTCTCTGCAGTTTAGGCCCGGGGACCACCATGAGAAGTGTTCAGTTTGTTTGGTGTGGCAAACAGGAACCAGGTGGCATGGACTGCATGAACAAGGGAGTAGCGGCTGGACCAGGCCTGGTGAGTCTGCCAGGAAAGAATGGCCCACCCTTGGTGTGCTCACCTCACTGGGAGGCCACCCTCAAGGTGGGTGGTCACCCCCCTTCAGAGAGGAGAAACTGAAGACAGGGCGGGGAAGGGCCCTGTTCACAGGCTGGCTGAAAGGACTGCAGTGTGAGAGAACACAGGGCTGCACCTGACTTCCATGGAGAGCATGCATGGCTGGGGACAGCTGTGCACACACAGAATTGAGCATGCCAGGCAGGGCCAAACGCCCCAGCCACCACTCCCCTTGCCCCTTGACCTGCTCCTTCCTTATGGAGGGGCCTCCTCTCTTACTTGGTGACCCACACCCCCACTTCTGGGTGCTTTTGCTCTTGGTTGCACCCTGCCGACAATCCCGGTGTCAGGAGTCCTCTGCAGGCACAGCAGTGATGAGGGACAGTCCCTACCTTCCCCCACCTAGGAGTAATAATATGACCACTGCAAAGTCACCCAGAAAAGACCATAAAAACCTCAAGCTCAGCCGGGCGCGATGGCTCATGCTTGTAATCCCAGCACTTTGGGAGGCTGAGGTAGGAGGATCATGAGCTCAGGAGTTGGAGACCAGTTTGGCCAACATGGTGAAACCCCGTCTCTACTAAAAATACAAAAATTAGCCAGGTGTGGTGGCACGAGCCTGTAGTCCCAGCTACTCAGGAGGCTGAGGCAGGAGAATTGCTTGAATCCGGGAGGTGGAGGTTGCAGTGAGCCGAGATCGCCACTGCACTCCAACCTGGGCGACAGAGCAAGGCTCCGTGTCAAAAAAAAAAAAGTAAAAAGTAAAATTAAAACCTCAAGTTCTCGAAGAGCAGGAAAGCATTCTAAATCCGCGCTCCAGCTCACCTGGCCTGGAACGAAGCTGCTAAAATTGCGAGGCCGCAGGCTTCAAACTTGCGCTAGATTTGACCGAGCCGGGCAAATGCTCCTAGGCCTTTGGGATAGACACGCTGCTCGGATGTCGCGTAAAGGCCGTTAGTGTCGGGGGTTGCACTCGCGGGGCCAGGGACTAGGTGGGGGCGGTCGGGCCGGCCCGGGGAATCCGGTGGGGTTCAGGGCCGCGCGGGGGGCCTCATATCCCCCGCGGGCACTGCGTAAGGCTGCCAGCATTGGCAGCGCATTTTGGCCAACAGTCGAAGACGGGTTGGGACGCCCCCTCGTGGGAGTTCTGGGGATGGGTTGCTCCAGGCCTTCCCCAGGGCCGCGCTTCACTTCCCTAGGCCACCGGAGACTCCCAGGCCACGCGGTGGTCAGCAGACCCTGTCTGGAGGGAGGGGACAGACAGCCGAGTCCGGGAGGGGGCAGAGAGCGGAGTCCAGCCTGGAGCCTCGCGTCCCCTTCCCAGCTGGCCCCATCCCGTCGCCTCCCCGTCTCCTCTCCCCTCCAGGGCTCGCAACAACCCCCAACTCCGCTCCCTGCCCTCTGCGGTGGTCCTAACAGAAGGCACTGTCGCCCTCCTTAAGCCCTCGGCGCTTTGCGACACTGGCCCCTGTCCCCAGAACCCGCACAGCCTGCCAGGCGCAGGGAGGGAGCAGGGTCCCATTTCCAGCCGAGACCCGGAGCTGCTGGAAGGGAGATGTCCGGAGGACGGGAGAAGGGGGATAGGGTTGGGGGCAGTGCCGCCTCCCGCTGGGGGCGTGTTCCTGAGGCCCCGCCCGGGGCCCCGCCTTTTTTGCGCCGGCTGTGACAAGCGCTGCGGCATTTGTCCCCGCGACAGCACCGCTGCCGCCGTCTCTAAGGTCGCCCGGGTCCCACCGCCGCCACCATGCCTCGGGGAAGCCGCAGCGCGGCCTCCCGGCCAGCCAGGTGTGAGGGGGACAAGGGCCCTGTGGGGAGGGGGTTAGGGAAGTGTGGGCACTCCCCTAAGGGCGTCCGCAGAGTGACCTTGGCTGCTGCTGCGCCATCTTGGCGGGGGGAGGGGTGGGGGTGCAGCACCCACGTGTGGAGACGTGGGTCGTCCATCTCTCCGGGGGTCGTTTCCAGGAGCTGCAGCCCTCCAGCCTGGGGTCTGGCCAGGATTAACCCTGCTTCCTCCCACCCCCGCAGCCGCCCAGCCGCGCCCTCTGCCCACCCGCCCGCGCACCCACCGCCCTCGGCAGCCGCCCCAGCCCCCGCCCCTTCGGGCCAGCCGGGGCTCATGGCTCAGATGGCGACCACGGCCGCAGGGGTAGCCGTGGGCTCGGCTGTGGGACACGTCATGGGCAGCGCCCTGACCGGAGCCTTCAGCGGGGGGAGCTCGGAGCCCTCCCAGCCTGCTGTCCAGCAGGTGAGCAGCGAGTCCAAGAGAAACTGAGGCAGGATTATCTCGAGGCCACACAGGGAGCTGCCCAAGTGTCCAGTGAGGAGTGTCCGCGTGTATTCACCATTGCTTCAGCCCAGGACTCTGCCCGGGAAGGGTCCTAGTCCACTGGTCTTGAGTTCACTGTCACTTAGAGGCAGGCTTCCCGGCCTCTCCCTTGAGGCCAGGGTCCCTAAGCTCCCAGGGAGAGACACCAACCAGCCCTTTAAAGATGGGAAACCCAGGCCCTGAGGGCTCAGAGACTCGCCCAAGGTCACCTCACCCTAGCAGAGGGGAGGGATGTTGGATTTCCTGAGCCCCTGTTCTCCCCACACCCAGGTCTGGGCACTGTGGCCGCTGGGCGCAAGGGCGAAGGGGAGCCACTTCCCTGATGACCTTTCCCCTGCTAGGAACCCCACCGCCGTAAGCCAAATGTGGCTTTGTGGCTAGGTCAGGGGTCATGAGGATTAGTGTAGCTGAGCCAGGAAGGTGCTAGAACTTGTGGGGGTGGGGCTCATACTCTGAGAGTACAGGCAGAGTACTGGGCTTTCCTAGAGCCTTCTCCTCCCTCTCCTGCACCCGCCCAAAGTGCCCATTAGAAGGCAGCAGAGGCCAGGCGCAGTGGCTCATGCCTGTAATCCCAGCACTTTGGGAGGCCAAGGCGGGTGGATCATGAGTTCAGGAGTTCGATACCAGCCTGGCCAACATAGTGAAACCCCCTCTCTACTAAAAATACAAAAAATTTGTTGGGCATGGTGGCGGGCGCCTGTAGCCCCAGCTACTTGGGAGGCCAAGGCAGGACAACCACTTGAACCCGGGAGGCGGAGGTTGCAGTGAGCCGAGACTGCGCCGCTGCACTCCACTCTAGGTGACAGAGTGAGACTCTGTCTCAAAAAAAAAAAAAAAAAAAGGCAGCAGAAACATGCTGTCTGTAGCCGCCTCTGCTGCTGGATCACTCAGCCTGCCTAGGACCCTTGGGACACCCAGGCTGGGGATGTGGGGAGGGGCAGGTGGCCCCAGGTTTGAAACGCACCTCCAGGTGCCAACTCCAAGCTGATCCTGCAGCCTCTTGCACTGTACCCCCAGGCCCCCACCCCCGCTGCCCCCCAGCCCCTGCAGATGGGGCCCTGCGCCTACGAGATCAGGCAGTTCCTGGACTGTTCCACCACTCAGAGTGACCTGTCCCTGTGTGAGGGCTTCAGCGAGGCCCTGAAGCAGTGCAAGTACTACCATGGTGAGTGAGTGGACCCCGACTCAGGCGGGGAGGGGGAGAGGCCAACCCTCCTCTTGCACCTGCAGGCTGACCACCAGCCTGTGCTGCCCCTCCCTTCCCAGGTCTGAGCTCCCTGCCCTGAAGAGGTCGGTGCAGACTCGGGGGCCAGTCCTGCACCCACCTCTACCCCTCGCCGACAGCCAGACCACAACACCAGATTGTACCCAGATAGCTGGGATTGGAAGTGAGGAGGTTTCTCACCCCACAGATAACCCAAGACACAAATGTGCAATTAAAAGTTTATTTTAGACCACAGCCTGTTGTGTGCCTCTCTCGATGGCCTGTCTTCAGGGAGCTCCCTGGCTGATGAGGTGGGGTCAGGATGGATGTCTCACTACAGTGTGCAATCCATCCCCTTAATCAGGGCC
This sequence comes from Homo sapiens, assembly GCF_000001405.40. NCBI lineage: Eukaryota > Metazoa > Chordata > Mammalia > Primates > Hominidae > Homo > Homo sapiens. Next base: position 2,082 of record NT_187633.1, on the reverse strand, counting down.
CTGGGTGGGGAGGAGGAGCCCTGTTGCAATCTGCACTGTGGGTAGCACAGGACAGATTCCTTGGGCAGTCCAGAGTGAGGTGGAGAGGCATTAGTCGGTGATCCCAAGGGCATCTGACTCTGAGGGTGGAATCCCAGGATGAACCCATGGTCTCCCCCTTATCAGGGATACCTGCCACCTCTACCCTTCTTGTCTCTACCTCTGCATCCCATTCTCTGCACCCACAGCTTAGGTGCCCCTGGCGGCCTCAAATCCTGTCTGACCTTGCCCCTCTTGCTGATGCAACTTCTCAGCAATTCCAGATTCTGCAAGAGGAGTCCTGCTGGGTTGTTGTCTGTTTGCACCTGATCACACAAGGCAGAGGTCATGGCTAACCCCCTTGGGTCTGAGTCCAACTTGGCTAGTTGGCAGTAGTGTGCCAGGTCCCCAAGCCTGCCAGAATGGAAGAACAAGCCCTTCAAACCCAGTGTGGGCCGTGCCATCACACACCATGCTGCCGCCTTCATTGAGTTCATCCAGCAGTTGTGCACTGAGCTCCTACTGTGTGCCAGCCCCTATGCCACATCTGTGAAGCCTGAGGACATTCCGGCCCTTAGTGCGCTGGCACTCCCGTGGGGTGGTGGGGACCTGTCTCAGGGTACAGTGTGTTCCATCTGGGGGTATATGTGCGTGGAGTTGGTGTTGAGGGTCTGCCCCTCATCATATGTGTCTGTCCTGCAGGAAGGGATCCCACTCTGGGTGTCTCTGTGGATGTCCAAATCTGCTCTGTACCTGGCTCCCTGCCCCAGCTAGCAACTCCTGGGTGGCAGGGAGCTCACCTTTCTGGGCCTTGAAGTGGGGCTTTGCTCATGGCGGCCTCGCCGAGTGCCCATACGCTTCCTCCAGTTGTGGCCCACAGAGGAGAGGCCTGACAGCCTGCGCAGTTCCTCTGGAAGGCCCAGGAAGTCCTGTTGGTAGGGGTTAGGGAGAAGGTGTGCCCTCCCCCTGGGCTGTACCCTGACACTCACCTGCCAGCTCTGGGTAATGGTCATCCAGGTTCTCCAATAGGGACTCATAGCGGGTGGAGGCCATGTCCTCTCCCTCTGTGACATGTGGAGAGACGATGAAGGACACCTGACTGGCCTAATGGTCCCTACTCTGCCTCTCACTCTGGAACTGTTTGCTAGTCCAGGCTGGGAGCAGAGCATTGGGTAGGGATGGATTGGGGCTAGGTCCCCAGCCGAGGTGGGAGGCCGGACAGGGCCTTGGGTGGTCTATGGTCTGCTATGCCCCCCTCTTACATTCTACCATAGCTGCAGGGGAGAGAACCTTGGGCCACCTTACTGATGATCCGAACGAGGACATATATGGCTCGCTCCTTCAGTAGGGAGTTGCCCATGGTCTGGGCCCGGGAAGCCCCTTCCTTCAGGTCCTCCTCCAGGCTCACTAGGTTGCCATCCTCAGCCAGGAGAGCAATGGTCGCTGGGAGGACATGGAGAGAGACTGGGCAGGGCTGGCACCCCTGCCTGGGACCCCTCAGCCCCTCCTTCTCCTCCCTGTCTCCTCACCATCTGGGGGCAACCCTGCTTTCTGCCTCAGGTGGGCGGTGAGGTTCACCAGCCTGCAAGAGGTGTTCACCAGCACCGAGCAGCCAGCTGTGGAGAGGGGCAAAGGTGAGCCTGTGAGATCTCTTACCTTCCTCCAAATCGGGGTCCTCTGTCTCTCCCTCCCATCTCTCCCTTTCCCAGAGCTGCGACTGGGCCTATGGGCTAAGACTGTGCCCCGGGCATAACAGCTCCAACATCTGTTGCTTAAACTGCCTTGGAGAACCCTCCATCCATCTCCCATGTGTGGTGACTTTTCTCCCATGTGTGGTGACTCCCAAGTGTTGGTCTCTTGAGTCCTGCAAAGCACGAAGTGGGCGCCAGCCCAGCCTCCTCCCGGGACCCGCCCCCACGGGACCCAGCCAGTCCCCGCCCTCCGCACCCACCGGCTCCTCTCTTCCCTTCCGCTACCGCACAGGGCCGACCCGCCTCCAGCCAGAGGCACGGGGACCCTGCAACTGTGGCTAGAGTTTCAGGTGTCTGATGCACGCTGAAGCTT